>NC_000010.11:919090-1070606 GCF_000001405.40 Homo sapiens
TAACCACAATGAAAATTACTATTAATACTTTGTTTAACAGTAATTATTCAACTATTAAATATTTAAATAATTAAGTTATTAAACTATTAAGTACAGGGCCTGTATCTCTGATGCTGAACTATGATGTGTGACTTAAGCCCCCAAATACATCATGTTATTTGGATCCAAGGTGCTGCACAGAACGCTGACCCTCTCTAAGAGCTGGGTATTACTTGCAAAAGGCTTATAAGCATCGGTGCATGGGTCGTTCAGTGGTAGAATTCTCTCCTGCCACGCAAAAGGCTTATAAGCAAGAAGCTATAAAGTTCCCATTTTCTGTTCTTCCTGTATTGGATGATGTAAAGCAAACTGTCACCAAGACTCAGTTTCCCAAACAGTAAAACAAGTGTTCTGAAGAATAAATGGGGGGAAAAAAGGGAGGGGGCTTTCAATCCTCTGAATTACAAGTCCAATACATTGTTGAGGGTGGGAGTTGTTGCAATTTGCTGTAGTTTCTTAAGAGTGTAAGATAGTGTGAAAGATCCTGACACACACCACAGTTGCCTGAGGACAGTAAACCAAAGGCCAGGAGAGCTCACAGCAAGTCACATTATCTCTAGTGTGAGTTCCTCTACACAAAGGTGACGGGTATGAACACAGGTGTTGAAGTTGGATCCAAGACTGCACACAGACTCCTGTGTTAACAGCGTGGACGTTAAAATGAACAACTCTCCCTGAATGCTTTAGGAAGAAAACCATTTAATTTACATGAATTTCTCTTAGACTATTTCTCAAAGATGAACTGTAAGCTGCAGTCTGATTACACGATACAAACCGGAGGGTGTTAACCAGAACACCAATTAGCACCTCCCTATTTGGATTAAGGTTAATGGATTATCTAAAATGACAAAACACTTAATTTTCCTGGAGTAAATATATTTCAATCTTTTAAAAAGCACAGTCTAATAACTGCTTTAAAAATCTACCTCAAAAAGTTAAAACACTTATTTAAATTATCTAACATACATAAAATTAATGCTTTCACCAATTTCTTTTGATATACCACAGCGGAGGGTGCGCCTTAACAGCGACCACAGTAAACTCTGCAATTACAGTGCAACGGGATGCTGGACTTAAAGAGGAGGCTCGTTACAGTCCTAGCTCTGTCACCAACTAGCCAGCTGTATCTCTAATTAATTTTACCTCATGGGCTTCAGTTTCTGAGTCTTCAGAGATCTAAAATCCTAAGACTGCAACTGCAATATTACACTGTTTTTCTGACAATTATTTTCACAAACTAGTTACCAAATCTCAGTTGACAAAATAACGTAGAACAAAACTCACAGTCTTAGAATATAAACATCTTACTTCAAAAGTACTATTTAATTCACACCTAACATTTTATGAATTAAGAATTAATCAGGCCAGACACAGTGGCTCAGGCCTGTAATCCCAGCACTTTGGGAGGCCAAGGCAGGCAGATCACTTGAGGCCAGGAGTTGCAGACCAGCCTGGCCAATATGGAGAAACCCTGTCTCTACTAAAACTATAAAAATAAGCTGGGCATGGTGACGTGCCTGTAGTCCTGGCTACTCTGGAGGTTGAAGCACGAGAATCACTTGAACCCAGGAGGTGATGATTGCAGTGAGCCAAGATACAGCCACTGCACTTCAGCCTGGGGGACAAAGTGAGACTCTGTCTCAAAAAAAAGGAATTAAAAAGAATTAAAGGTTCCTTCAGTCTTTTAATTCCAGACTGATAACGATGGAACTGATAAAAAGAAAACACTCCATGCAACTGGGTTAAGGCTGATTAAATGTTATGTTCACTATTATTATTATTAAACATTTCGTAAATATATGCTTTACAATAAATTTACCTAACCACACTTCCCAACATCAAATTGAAAACTGGAAGTTAAGGGTCAGGCATGGTGGCTCACACCTGTAATCCCAGCACTTTGGGAGGCCAAGGCAGGCGGATCACCTGAGGTGGGGAGTTCGAGAGCAGCCTGACCAACATGGAGAAACCCTGTCTCTACTAAAAATACAAAACTAGCCAGGCGTGGTGGTGCATGCCTGTAATCCCAGCTACTCAGGAGGCTGGGGCAGGAGAATCGCTTGAACCCAGGAGGTGGAGGTTGCAGTGAGCCGAGATCGCACCATTGCACTCCAGCCTGGGCAACAAGAGTGAAACTCCATCTCAAAAAAAAAAAGAAAAAGAAAGAAAGAAAACTGGAAGTTAATGATCCAGCATTTATTTGCCTTGCTCATATAATTATCTAACACAATTTGTGGCCATATAACGATTTTGGGAAAACATCTAGTCTACAGTTATTTATGTTGAGCTGTAACTTCATGTGATTTCATGAAAAACCTATTCTCAATAACAGAATAAAACTACCACTTCTTTCTTTCCTGTAAGGTTGGCAGGGGGACGCGGGGAGGGGGAGGACTACCACAATGACCAACACACTTCCAAAATTCTGAACTTACAGGAAATAGTATGCCAAGAATCTGTGTGGCCTTGCCTGAAAGATAATAAAACTTGTGGTCACTCGGAATCCTAAGGCACACTGCAAAAGTTTACTCTTCACTGGAATTTCTCCAGGTCATGGAGATTTTTAAGTGCCTCAATGCTTCTACAGTTTATTTGGCAATTCTACATCCCATTTCCAGTCCTTTCATGCTTAGGTTTAACTCTCCTGTACTGAGCCCTAAAGAATAATGATTTCAGCAGAAGAGATTAAATTCATCGGTGTGTACAAAGAAATGGGAAGAGCAGGGAAAAACTGAAGGCCACGTGCACACGCAGCAACACTGGTAATACTGCTTCCCATATTCATTCTTTGGTCTTCACTGACAGCGTGAAGAAGCAACTATTGCTGATTCATCAGTTACTCATTTTCACAATGGTCAGTACTCCAAGTCAGCGGTAACCAATCTTTTTTGGCACCAGGGACTGACAGGTTTCATGCAAGACAATTTTTCCACAGACAGAGCGGAGGGGTCAGGGGGTGGGGGGTGGTGAGGAGGATGCTTTCAGGATGAAACTGTTCCACCTCAGATCATCAGGCACTAGATTCTCATAAGGAGCATGCGACCTAGATCCCTTGCATGTGCAGTGCACAGTAGGATTTGAGCTCTTATGAGAATCTAGCGCAACTGCTCATCTGAGAGGAGGTGGAGCTCAGGCAGTAATGCTCACTCACCCTGCTGCTCACCTCCTGCTGTGCAGCGCAGTTCCTACCAGGCCATGATGGGTACGGGTCGGACAACCTGGGAGTTAGGGACCCCTGCTCCAAGTGACCCACTGAAAGGCAACCTGAACTAGCAATTTAGCCTGGTAACAACTGTCAATGGAGCAAGGCACAGGGGCTCACACTCATATTCCCAGCAACCTGGGAGGCTGAGGCTGGAGGATCACTTGAGGCCAGGAGACTGAGGCCAGCCTGGGTGACATGGCAAGACCTCATGTCTCAAAAAATTATTATTTAAATAGCCAGGAGGATCACTGGAGCTCAGAAATTGGAGGCTGCAGTGAGCAGTGGCCACACCACTACACTCCACTCCTGCAGCCTGGGCAACAGAACGAGACCCCGTCTGTTAAATAAATAAATAAATAAATAAATAAATAAATAAATAAATAACAAGTATCACTGGAGGTATGGATATTAACCACAGAGGAATATGGAACATAGAACTTAAAATCATGCTACGCAGGCCGGGCACAGTGGCTCACGCCTGTAATCCCAACACTTTGGGAGGCCAAGGCAGGCAGATTGCTTGAGGTCAGGAGATTGAGTCCATCCTGGCTAACATGGTGAAACCCCGTCTCTACTAAAAATACAAAGAAATCAGCTGGGCGTGGTGGCACACGCCTGCAGTCCCAGTTACTTGGGAGGCTGAGGCAGGAGAATGGCGTGAACCTGGGAGGCAGAACTTCCAGTGAGCGGAGACTGTGCCACTGCACTCCAGCCTGGGAAACAGGTGAGACTCCACCTCAAAAAAAAAAACAAATCATGCCAGACAGAAGTCCACCCAAAAAGACTTTCACAGTAAGCTACTGTATTTACAGTACTCAAGAAACACTAAATGCCAGTGTTCTATCCGTGGTTTAAATGTTTTTAACCTCCTAAAAGCACAAGAGACAATGCTTTCATCCTTTCAAATGTCTAGATTTTTAGAAGGTAGCTTCCCATAGGGACTTCAAGTCTACTTTTAAAGTCAGGACTGAATGGTTAAAGCAATGAACTAGAAATCCATTGGGGTTTCCCGGCACAGGTCTGAATCCTACCAATTACCGCATCTTTTCCTTTGCAAACGTGATTTACTGACCCCTCCTCCAGATGGAGAGCCTGGTATTTACTACCTCTCAGGAAGAAGTGTGACTGCTCCCCAACCTGACCAAACTTTCCCCCTTTATGGACCCAGTAAAAAAAAAAAAAAAAATCTGTACATGCCTCCTAAAGGTTACTGGTATTCTCTGACTGATAAGGCAAAAATTACACAGACGATAATCTCAACAATGAAATACAAATATGTAATCAACAAAGATAAAAAGAATGCTCAGAAAAGCATGAAGCCACCTTTAAAGAAAATTTTAAAGGACCTGATATTTTTAAAAAGAGAATGTTCAACATGTTAACAGATAACAATAACTGAAGCAATTTGTACATCTATACCAAATTGATCACTAGGTTTTCATCTCTGTATTTTGAGCACTGACAATAAAAACAAAGCTCTCTGAAATGTGAAAACAAAATGTTCTCATTTTTCAGAGACACTCCTAAAAAAGGCATGTTTGAAATTATCTGAAATAACAAATATACTTTAAACAACTGGCAAATATTAGCAAATTTAAGACATATTTTATAAACAAATTTTAAAGCATTTTTAGGCCAGGTGCAATGGCTCACATCTGTAATCCCAACACTCTGGGACTGCTTGAACCCAGGAATTCGAGACCAGACTGGGCAACATAGTGAGACCCGCCACCTCTACAAAAAAAAATTTTTTTTTTAATTAGCCAGGTGTGGTGGCATGCACCCATGGGTCCCAGCTACTCGGGAGGCTAAGGTGGCAAGATCGCTCAAGCCCAGGTCGAGGCTGCAGAGAGCTGTGAGCATGCCACTGGACTCCAGCCTGGGTGACACAAACTGTCTCAAAAAAATAAAATATTTTTTAAACATACACGATTATATGTAATACAAATTAAAGGGATTTTAAGGAAGCTGGCTGGTCTCATTTAGACTGGGGCTTGGCCTTTTCAACTATGAAGAGAGGTGTACACAAGAAGAAAGAGATTCCCTACCTTGCCGCCCAGTAACACCCACATGTGACCACTCCCTGCTTCCACACGACTCTGCAAAGCAGAATCATTTAAAAAAGACAATTCTATGACATAAAATCCTCCAACTGCTTCCCACTGGTCTTAGGATAAAGGGCAAAATAATCAACCTATATGGGACCTCCCAAGCTCTGTAAAATAAAACTCTCCACCTACCTCCCAGCCGCGTTCTCTTCCTTCAGCCTTGTTCACACTAGTTCCTTCAAAGCACTCTGCACCTTTCCCACTTGGGGCACTACACAGGTAATTCTCTCTGCTGACCTCTCACTCCACCACCATCCCTCCAACCTCGGTGCCACCATCACAACCTCAGGGAAGCCTTCTGATCCCTCCCATCCAGGCCGGATGTCAGTGCACTGCACTTTCTTATTGGATTATGTGATTGTCCACCTGTCTCAATGGACACCAAACTCCAAGAGATGGCAATCTATCCCTCTTGTTCACCATACTGGGATCTACTCATCAACTATTTAGCGCATGCTACCTACCAGATATTGTTCTAAGGCTTAGGTTCATACTGAGGAGCAAAATATAAATCTTGATCTCATAAGAGTTTACATTCAAGTATGAGAAGACGGGCCATACATAAATTAGTAAGTAAATTATATGGTATGTTATAGTGTCATAAATACTATGAAAAAAGTACAGCAAGAAGGGGAGACAAGGAGAGTGCAGGGCAGGATACACCATAATATATGTGACTGTTGTAGCAGACTATCCAAAGAAGCATGCAGCTGAGAGCCAGCCACTTCCAGAGGCCAGTCTCTATGGCTTTACATAGAACAATGCACTTTCCTATTCCTGCTGGATGACGGGCCTTACAGAAAAATCCTGTTGCCTTTCATCTTTGCATCCCTAGTGTTCAACTGGTCAGAACACCTGCCACAGGAAGAAAATGAACCCTTTTCTTACCGTAATCTCAGTGGCCCTCCTTTATGCCAGGCCCTTTAGCAATACTTAACAGAAAATAAAAAATGGAAAAACATCCACTAAAGTTTAAAAGATACATTTTCAATATTGCAATTGTTTCATTTTGGGTTAACATGATGTTTTTATTTTAAAGCAAAATAAAGGTAAGAAATTCTATGGCTATCTAAAAGGGGGCATTTATTTTATTTTATTTCATTTTTTTTCAGACAGAGCCTCACTCTGTCGCCCAGGCTGGAGTGCAGTGGTGTGATCTCAGATCACTGCAACCTCTGCCTCCCGGGTTTAAGCAATTCTCCCGCCTCAGCCTCCCAAGTAGCTGGGATTACGAGCACGCACCACCACGCCTGGCTAATTTTTGTATTTTTAGTACAGACAGGTTTTCACCATGTTGGCCAGGCTGGTCTCGAACTCCTAACCTCAGGTGATCCACCCGCCTCGGCCTCCCAGAGTGCTGGGATTACAGGCGTGAATCAAAGTGCCTGGCCGAAAGAGGGCACGTTTTTAAAGACTGAGAAACAGTATAATTTAAAGGTCATGTGGCTAAATTACTCTATCTGAAAATACTTTATGCGCTAAATGTAGCTATGAAAAGTCAGTTAAAAACTTGTAAATATAACTTTTATACTCTATAAGAAACTTTCTAATGTATGCTTTTTGAGTAAAGATTTTCCTATTTGTTTACAGAAATGTGCAAGTATACAATCAGCAAACAATTTCTCTGGAACACAGGTGGGAGATGTCTTTGAGCATTCTTATCTCTTTACTTGAATTACTTTCACTAAACATCTACAGTTTACCAGTCCCTGGGCTGGGCAGAGGTGACAAGCATAAAAAGAGAATCTCACTCACAAGGAGCTTACATTAATTATGTGCTAAGTAACACAAAGGTACACTTAGTTGCTACAGAAACAGAGAAGCATAATCTCAGAAGTTAATGCAAAGCAGTCTGGAGGACTCCTAAAATATCTTTTTAAGGATGGTTTAAGGAGCTAAGTAAATATTTTAAAAATTTTTTTAAAGGAGGTGGACATTCAATTTCAGTCAAAGAATCTACCAACAGCAATGGCTACAACGTTTGCAACACCAAGGTAGGAGAGGGAGGCGTGGTCCTGATTAAAAGGTGGGGCAGGGCAAGAAGGAAGACACAGAAGTGGAAGCACACACAGGGCGAGGCCTAGGGCAGTCCTGATGAGTTTCTGAAAAGAGGCCAGCCATCAGGCTATGCCACACTCTGGCTACAGTGCGACTAAAATGATTTGTGTAAATAAAAGAGCATTTTATTGGGCAAATTTATGCACATCAGACTTCATAAAGAACACTTTCAGCAAAGATCAAGTCTCATCTCTATGATTATCATACTCCCCCTAAAAAACTAAGCAGTACGCTTTCAAATTTGTGTTAAACATGGCCGGGCGCAGTGGCTCACGCCTGTAATCCCAGCACTCTGGGAGGCCAAGGCAGATGGGTCACTTGAGGTCAGAAGTTCAAGACCAGCCTGGCCAACACAGTGAAACCCAATTTGTACTAAAGTACAAAAATTAGCCGGGCGTGGTGGCACGCACCTGTATGTAGTCCCAGCTACTCAGGAGGCTGAGGCAGGGGAATCGCTTAAACCCTGGAGGCAGAGGTTGCAGTGAGCCGTGATCGTGCCAGTGCGCTCCAGCCTGGGCAACAGAACGAGACTCGGTCTCAAAAAAAAAAAAAAAAATTGTGTTAAACATGAAATACTTTCAATATTGCAATGTACTCCATGGTCTAGGTCTCCTAACCAGGGCAATGGGGTTGATGGGAAAGAAGATGTAAAACCAGTAGCATCACTGAACTGCAAATCCTTTATGGTTGAAATAGGAGCCATGACAGCTTCACCAGAAAAACTATGAGAAGACAGAGTTTATAAAGGCATTGAAGGGACAAAAGGTATTAAGGTATGGGGTGGCGGGGGGGCAGTGAGAAAGAGAAGGGAAGGAAACACAGCTGAGTTAATAATTTTCCTTGTTCCTAAGGAAGGCATTTACACACAGGAAAAACAAAGCATTAGAACGTTAGGGGAAAAAACTTTCAAGTTGGAATTTATCTCCCTTCTTTTGAGAACCTAGCAGTTTTCTACCTTACAATTCCATGTTCTAAAAAAGGAATTCATTTTCCAATCAAAATAACTCTAGAAGTAGAGTAGTTACAAAGATATCAACCAGCATAAGAGCAAAAAGTTTAAACTGAACTAAACTCAGACCTGATGAGGTTAACTCTCTGAGTGCCTCATTTACTTCGTACTCTAAAATAAGCTTTTACAGAAAAAGGAGAACTCTTCACATCAATAAAGTTCTACAAAAGAGCATAAGCAAGGAAACCCTTACAGCAGTGTCTGTTTTTAACAAGGTATTTTCCAAAAACATGACTTCAGTGTTCATGTCTTCTCCCCATTGGAAAAAGGTTGTTTTGAGAATTTTGTAGAAGAAATTACAAGAATATACTCCAAGATTTTTGTGCAATTTATCAATCTGAAAAGAATATCCCTAAATCTGACAGAATCTATAAGAGTACTGTATGCATGATAAAAGCATATTTAAAACTTGTACCTTTGGCCAGGTACGCCGTGGCTCACGCCTGCAATCCCAGCACTTTGGGAGGCCGAGGCGGGCGAATCACCTGCGGTCAGGAGTTCAAGACCAGCCTGGCCAACATGGTGAAATCCCAACTCTACTAAAAATACAAAAAAAAAAAAAATTAGCCAGGTGTGGTGGAGGGCACCTGTAATCCCAGCTACTCGGGAGGCTGAGGCAGGAGAATCACCTGAACCCGAGAGGCGGAGGATGCAGTGAGCCAAGAACGCACCATTGCACTCCAGCTTGGGCGACAAGAGTGAAAGTCCGCCTCAGGAAAGAAAAAAAAAAAAAAACTTGTACCTTTAACACTAGGATAAAAACAAATGAAATCGATTGATGGTAACACATCTATACAGCTTTTTTACAACTTTGAGAGGCCCTAACATAGACAACACGTTACTAAGATTAGAAGACCTAGATTATAATCCTAGCTATCACTATTTTGACGGAAAATATGAATTTTAACATGACAATGAAATAACAGTGAAAGGAGTTTGTCAGCCACTCCTTGGCTGGTAACATCTACCATAGCCTATCACTACAAAAACTTGCAAATCTATGTAGAGTAGCTGCAGCTACCTGAAGGCACTGTTCATTGTAAACACCATTAACAATTTGATGTCCCAATTTGCATGTTTTGGGGGTGGGGGGAGACAAGGTCTCACTGTTGTCCAGGATGGAGTGCAGTGGCAGGATCATGGCTCACTGCAGCCTCAACCTCCCAAGCTCAAGCGATCTTCCCACTTCAGCTTCTCCAACAGCTGGACTACAGGTGTGAGCCACCATGCCTGGCTAATTTTTTGATTTTTTGGTAGAGATGAGGTCTCTCTATGTTGCCCAGGCTGGTGAACTCCTGGGCTCCTAAACTCACCTAGGCCTCCCAAAGTGCTGGGATTACAGGAATGAGCCACCTCACCCAGCCTGCACGTATTTTAGAACTACATTTTAAGATAATGTGAAGACTGCTTCATAAAAACACCTTAAATATATACTTGTCAAAACTTGTGCTTACTTATGGAAATTGCATTAAATTCAATAAATTCTTTAAATCTCACTTTTAAAAATGGCAATCTTCCCGAACATTAAACCAAATTACATTTCTCCCTGAATTTGCTGCCACTTAATTTCAGCTACTCTTCTACAGAATAGTACCCATGTTATCTTTTTTTCTGTCTGGTTCCTACTCAAAAAGAGTGGAACTGCTTTCTCCAAATATGCATTCTGTGCTCAGAAGCTGTTTTCTCTGCCCAGATACATGTGTAAACAAGCCAAAAAAAACAAAACAAAAAAACAAAAACAAAAACAAAACTTTCTGCTAATAGATTGACAGCTACAAGGTAGAATATTTTAAAAATTCAGTAAGCTGGGCGCAGTGGCTCACTCCTGTAATCCCAACACTTTGAGAGGCCAAGGCAGGTGGATCACTTGAGGCCAGGAGTTCGAGACCAGCCTGGGCAACATGCTGAAACCCCGTCTCTACTAAAAATACAAAAATTAGCCAGGTGTGGTGGCATGTGCCTGTAAATCCCAGCTACTCGGGGGGCTGAGGCAGGAGAATAACTTGAAGACCTAGGAGGTGGAGGTTGTAGTGAGTTGAGATCGTGTCACTGCACTCCATCCTGGGTGACAGAACAAGACTCCAACTCGGGGGGGGAAGAAAAAAATCAGTAATAGTGAAAATAGCAAAACCAGACAACATTTCCATGTTTGTGTTACAACAGTCCTAAGAAAATGAGATTATCATCATCCCCCTGTTACAATTGAGAAAATGTAGGCAACACGAGGGTAACTTCTAATGAATAAGCCATGCCTTTGTTTCATATAAATAAGTCAACTCAACTCACATTAACTTTTCAAAATACCGGATAAAATTTATTTCTAACCAATGCAAGTTTCAAAGATAAGTACACAAATTAAATTTATGATTAAATAATAAGCTTGTTAATCTGATGCCTTTCGGAACGCATTTCACTTAGCAAACCTCAATTAAGCTATTTCTTATATGGTTTGATTACAAAACTGCCTTTCAGCATATTAAATACAAGGAGAAAAAACTGAAAAGCCACAACGATTTCAACTTCTGTAAATTACCCTGACTGTAATGAGGGGCGCCAGGCAGGTTGGGGAAGTATGGAAATTGCACACTGCACACACCACCTGACCACCAAGAAAAAAGAGGACACCACTCTTCCCCACTGTGGTCTTCACAAACTACAACTCAGCACCTATTTCAAGTGCATTTAAATATTCAAACAACTGAAACTAAGAGAAAAAAACTTTCGAAAGGGAAAATAACTTGTCTGTCCCCTTCAATGTTCACCTTGGAGTTGCTCTCATCTCTAGAAAAAGGCCTCACGCATACTGTTTATACTTACAAACTCCACTGCCCTGTCAAGGAAAACCTTCCTGTTTTCTCAGTTATCCAAAACTTCAAACTTCCAATTTACTATTAAGACAAGTTATTGGGCATCCACTTAGAGAATCTCAAACGAAAGCCAGATAGGAGGTAGTTTTCTACAGCTAGGTTTCTCAAGTTTCATCTCAGCCAAGTTTTAAGAACGTTTTACGTAAAAATAAGGGGAAAAGCAAAATTACATTCGCATGAAGTTTCGACGCACAACGGCACTGAAACGGAAAGACTCTTCACGTTCCCAAGCGCACCCTGAGAGGCAGGTGCAGCAGCTTTCCGATGGCTTCTCTGCCGCCCATGTATCCCAGCCCCAAGACCAACACAGGCAATCTTCACATCTGACTTTATTTTTTTAACTCCTTCAGATCCACCTCTGCTCAAGTCTATCAACAGGAAAACAGGAGCGTTCCAAACACACACCGAGCAACAGGATCCCAACTTCCTGGTTCTAAAGGAATGCGATGCCCTGATGACCCGTCCCGCCCCGCACCCGCACGGCCGCCTATCCGGGCTCCGGCGGGACCGAGGAGCGAGTGGCAAGGCTGGCGCCGCACTGCGGGTGCCGGCGCCCGCCCGGCCTGGGGGCGCTCGCGGCCCGCGACCCCGGCCCCGCCCAGGCCCTGCCCGACCCCCGTCCTCGCCGGCCTTCGCCCAACCCCGGCCTCCCGACCCTGACCCCGGCCCGGTCTTCCGGGCACCCAGCTCCGTCGACTCCCGCCTCGCCTCAACGGGTCCTCCTAAGCCCCGGCCCCGGCCTTCCCCTGCCCCGGCCTCGGCCATCCTCAGCCCCAGTTTTCCCCTGCCCCGGCCCCGGTCCTCCTCAGCCCCGGCTTTTTCCTGGCCCTGACCCCGGTCCTCCTCAGCCCTGGCCCTTCCCGTGCCCTAGCCCCGGTCCTCCTCAACCCGGCCCCGGCCTTCCCCTGCCCCGGCCCCGGCCCCGGCCCAGGCCCGGCCCTGCCCGCCGCGGCCGCGTCCTCCGGGAAGATGGCGGCGCAGTGACAGGCGGCGCGGCGCGGGTCCGAGCTGGGCCGGGAGGGACGGCCCGCCGCGGCCCAGGGTGCCTCACCTGTCAGCGCCGCCGCCCCGCCCGACCGGCCGCCCGCGGGCTCCTCGCCTCAACCCCGGGGCCCGGCGGCCGCGCCACACGCGGGGACGGCGAGGAGAGAGACGGCAGGGAGAGGCGGCGCGGCCGGGCCGGGCCGGGCCGGAGGTAGGGGAGAGGGCGGGCGCGAGCTGGCGGCGGCGGCGGCGGCGGATTCTTCCCCTTTCGGGCCCGAAAATGTCTCAACCCCGGGACTCCAGATCCCCAACGCTCCTTCCCGTTCGCATGAGAACACACAGCTCCCACTTCCGGGGCCCTGCGGAAGTCCCGCCCCCGCGCGGACCCGCGCCTCGCGCCCTGAACTCGCGCACTCACCCGCCGGTCCCGCGGACTGGCGCTCAGCCCCGGGAGAGCCTCACGTCATGGTGTTGCGGCGCGCTGATTGGGCGCACCCGACGCTCGGCCCGCCCCGCCGCCTTCTTGGCCTCTCCGCGCGTACACCCTGCTCGCGGCCTTGCGATTGGCGCGTGCGCGCACATCGCCCCGCCCCGCGCACGCCGCACGTCCGCCCCGCCCGCCCCGCCCGCCCCGCCCGCCGTCCCCGGCGCGACCGGAGCGCCTGACGCTGGGGGGCCGTGTGGGCCCTGACTTCCGGAGGGCTGGGCCCTGGTCCTCCGCCACCGCGTGCGCCCCTTAAAGACCCCTGCCCGCCGCCCAGGACGGATGGCGACCCCGGCCCTAGCCTGTCCCCAGACCCTGGACCAAGGCCCCGGCCCTGCCCCGAACCCCTCATCCCACCCCCAGGACCCAGGCCCCGACCCTGGCCACCCAGGACACGCCCTGGCCCTTCCCCGAACTCCCACCCCACAGCTGGGATCAAGGTCCCGGCCCTGCCCGGAACACCTCACCCCACACCCGGGACCCAGGCCCCGGCCCTGCCCCGAACTCCCACCCCACACCCGGGACCAAGGCCCCGGCCCTGCCCCGAACCCCTCACCCCACCCCCGGGACCAAGGCCCCGGCCCTGCCCAGAACTCCCACCCCACACCCGGGACCAAGGCCCCGGCCCTGCCCAGAACTCCCACCCCACACCCGGGACCAAGGCCCCGGCCCTGCCCCGAAGGCCCCACCGGGGACCCAGGCCCCGGCCCTGCCCCAAACTCCCACCCCACACCCGGGACCAAGGCCCCGGCCCTGCCCCGAACGCCCCACCCGGGACCCAGGCCCCGGCCCTGCCCCAAACTCCCACCCCACACCCGGGACCAAGGCCCCGGCACTGCCCCGAACGCCCCACCAGGGACCCAGGCCCCAGCCCTGTCCCGAACTCCCGCCCCACACCTGAGACGAAGGTCCCGGCCCCGAAGTCCCAACCCCACACCCGGGACCAAGGCCCCGGCACTGCCCCGAACCCCCGCCCCACACCCCTAACCAAGGCCTCGGCTCAGCCCCGGAATCCCCAACCCCACACCTGGGATCAAGGCCCCGGCCCTTCCCCAAACCCCCAACCCACACCCGGGACCAAAAGGCCCCGGCCCCACGTTTCCTAGAGGCGCTGGGTTCGGGCCCACGTTGCAACGAGTCAGATGCTCTTGGTAGCTCAGGGAGGTGTTCACACTCCTGCCGTTTCCGTGAGGATGGTGACGACTCCGAACTATAGCAGCATACTCTACCTACCCCTGATCAGTTTATGGAAGAAAAGGAAACCAAACAAAGTATGTTGCGTTTCCCTTAAGCTTGCTGCCTGATTTTCTGGTTTCTGCTCTGATTGGCTACATATACACATATTATCAATTATTCCAAATTTTAGGTTTGTTCCCCCATTAAAACGGCTTTTCAGGGATACCATATTCATGGTTAACCGTGTACCTGTGCTTACAACTGCTTTTTTAATTTTGTTTTTTGATACAGGGTCTTGCTCTATGCAGGTCTGCACTCTGAGCTCAGAGTGCTGTCTCGGGCCCCCAAAATCTGGGATTAGAGATGGGAGCCGGTGTACCCAGCCTGTGCTTATAATTTTTCGTACTCAGCGTTCAAATGCTGACAATTCTGCATTTTGGAAGAAAGCCTCTCCGGCTTCCCATAGTGGGTAGACTGTTGACATCAAGGTTGGGTGCCTTCTTTGTGAAACCTTGTTGCATCCTAGCTTTAAGGGAATTTGCAAGTTAAATAATTATATTCATAGTAATGTTTTTAAAGAACATTTAACGACATAAGACACATTTCCTTTAATATTAAAAGCATGTACATATTTCAGAAAACTTGCTTACCTGGACAACCTGCCCTGACCAGTAGGCCATAGTGTCCTTGCTTAGGTGCCTGGTTCCTTTACCTCCACGGATAACCTACAGGAGCTTACTCTTGGTTCATAACATTGCTAGGGCCATTGATGTGGTATAAGTCTAGGAATTCTGCCCCAAAATTGGTAGGTTAAACTTTTTTTTTTTTTTGAGACTGACTCTCCCTCTGTCACCCCGGCTGGAGTGCCGTGGCATAATCTCGGCTCACTGCAACCTCAGTCTCCCGGGTTCAAGTGATTCTCCTGCCTCAGCCTCCGGAGTAGCTGAGACTACAGCCGCATGCCACCACGCCCAGCTAATTTTTTGTATTTTTAGTAGAGATGGGGTTTCACCGTGTTAGCCAGAATGGTCTTGATCTCCTGACCTCGTGATCCGCCTGCCTCAGCCTCCCTAAGTGCTGGGATTACAGGCGTGAGCCACCGTTCCCGGCTGGTAGGTTAAACTTCAATCTTTTTTGTCTATGTCTACATTCCAGCAGACATCTATGTCTTACCTATTACAAAAGAAAGTAATGGGATGGGTTCAGTGGCTCATGCCTGTAATCCCAGCACTTTAGGAGGCCAAGGCAGGCAGATCGCCCAAGGCCAAGAGTTCAAGACCAGTCTGGGCAATATGTCAAAGCCCCATTTCTTTAAAAAATTATACAAAAGTAGCCGGGCATGTGGTGCATGGCTGTGGTTCCAGCTACTCAGGAGGCTGAGGTGGGAGGATCGCTTGAGGTTGAGGCTGCAGTGAGCTGTGATTGTGCCACCGCATTCCAGCCTGGGTGACAGAGCGAGACCCTGTCTCAAAAAAAGAAAAAGAAAAAAACTAAAACTAAAAGAATTCCATCTCTTCTTTCTCTTCGTATTGTGTAATCCTTTCCAACAATCAGAACTGGGCTTTTTGTTCCCTCATGATCTTCTTTTTTTCAAACCTGTGTCTCAGAAGAAACATCCATTTTCACCTTGAGATGTGAGGTTATAACATGAAATACATTTTCATGGCATCTCTCCTTAGACAAGATCAGTTTTTTAAAACTTTAGTATAAATTTCTCAAACCATGATCAGATACACTCCCTCATTTCCCATGTCAAGTGGTTACAAATTCTGTCAATCCTACCTAAAAACTCTTTCCTTCTCCCCGTCCCCCCAGTGGTTTTGCCGTTGTTACTGCTCACCTGGTTTGATTCAGTGGCGTCGCGGTTGGTCTCTGCTACAGTCCATTACTCACAGTGCCAGCACATGTTTCCTTAAAAAGCTTCATCACCATCCTCCTGCAATGCGACCTTCACCGGCTCCCCGTTGCCTGCCCAGGAGGATAAAGTCCAAGTTCTCCTGTGGAAAGAAGACCCTTCACACGCTAGTCCCAGCCTGTCTTCAGCCCAGCCCCCTGTGTTTCCTTTCCTGCCTTATCCTAAGACATCCTTACCTTCCAATCACACTCACTTTCCGAGCATTTTTGAAGGTATTGAGGGAGTTGATGAGTCTACACTTGAATAAAATACAGACTTTACACTCCAGACTGCACAGTTGACAGGTAAGTCCACAGTTCATAGTGTGGACAGTCCTATACAAAGAAATGGAGAGGTGCCCCAGCTCCAGACGCTGCGCTGCTCTGGAAGTCGAGGGCGGCATTCTTTTGGAGCCTGAGCACTTAGGTCCTAATGGATGTGAGTCCCCTGGCCTCAAATGTGCTTCCTGTACTTGGATGTCTCCTTCTGGCGGAATCTCGCTTATTTTTCAAGTTACAGCCCAAATGTCAACCACTGAAGTGTTTTAGACAGTTGATTTTCCTTCTGGGCCCTATTATTAGCACTTGTTTGTAGCTCTGTTGAGCTACATCACATCATACAATTTTCAGCTGACACTACTGTCATCCCAAAGAAATGGTCAGGCCTCAAGGGCAGAGGCAGCGAGGGCAGTGATCTTGGGACAAAGTCTCTACCAAACAAATACAGCATGTGTATTTCTCTAGCAGAGGCCTACATTTCAAGTGGTGTCTGAGAACATTCTTTTCTTTTTCTTTTTTCTTTTCTTTTCTTTTTTTTTTTTTTTTTTTTGAGTCTCCCTCTGTCTCCCAGGCTGGAGTGCAGTGGCACAATCTTGGCTCACTGCAACCTGCGCCTACCGAGTTCAAGTGATTCTCCTGCCTCAGCCTCCCGAGTAGCTGGGATTACAGGGATGCACCATGATGCCCAGCTAATTTTTGTTGTTTTTTTTTTTTGTTTGTTTTTTGTTTTTAGTAGAGTCAGGGTTTCACCATGTTGGTCAGGCTGGTCTCGAACTCCTGACCTCAAGTAATCTACCTGCCTCCGCCTCCCAAAAATGCTGGGATTACAGGTGAACATTCTTTTATTTTATCCCGAAGCATTTTCTGTGAAAAAATAAACACTACTTCTCCAATGTGTAGCCGCATTGCTCAAAAATTCATTTTTGATGATTTAGGACTATTCCTTTGCCCATTGATTAAACAAATATTCACTGAGTACCTACGCGGTCTCAGGGACTGCTAATGTTGCAGAGATCAGGGGAGCATCACAGATGAGAAGCAGGTAACGAGGGATGGAGGGTGAGGATGAGGGATGGAGGGTGAGGTGAGGCTGTGTAGAGTGCTTGGGTGGCTCACAAGCGGGGTCCAAGCCAACTTAAGAAGGAACCAGAAAATGATGACTAAGCCGGGGCCAGAGACAAACCATCCACGAGAAGGACACAGGTGGGAAGAAGGAGGCAGTGAGTCACGATTTACTACGAGGCAGGCCAGACACAGTAGCTCAAACCTATAATCCCAGCATGTTGGGAGGCCGAGGCGGGTGTATCATCTAATGTCAGGAGTTCGAGACCAGCCTGGCCAACATGGTGAAACACCTGTCTCTAGCAAAAATACAAAAAAATTAGCTGGGCGTGGTGGCGGTCGCCTGTAGTCCCAGCTACTCGTGAGGCTGAGGCAGAAGAATTGCTTAAACCCAGGAGGCTGAGGTTGCAGTGAGCGAGATCGTGCCATTGCACTCCAGTCTGGGCAACAAGAGTGAAACTGTCCGCCCCCCAAAAAACAACAAAAAACCAGATTTACTATGAGGCAAGAAAGACCCTTAGAAGGTTTTGCTGTGGAGTATCTCCAGCCACAAAAGCCACTCCAATAGAAACACAATAAGGAACTGGCCTAGGCAAATTAGGTGGAAGTATTAAAATGAAGAATGGTGGTAATACATTTGAATACTGTGAGTAAAAAAGAACGCATGAGCTTTTACAGATACTAAGAAATATACGTGAGTGGGTAAGTAAAAAATAGTAGCATTGAGGAAGGAAAAAAGAAAGCTCTTCTTTACAGTAAAATGCTGATTAATATATGAAGAAGAGATTTTTTTATTTTTATTTTTGGAGACAGGGTCTTGCTCTGTCGCCCAGGCTGGAGTGCAGTGGCGCAATCCCAGCTCACTGCAGTCTCGACCTCCTGGGCTCTAGTGATCCTCCCGCCTCAGCTTCCCAAGTAGCTAGGACTACAGGCATGCGCCACCATGCCCAGCTAATTTTTGCATTTTTTGTAGAGACGAGGTTTCATCATGTTGCTCAGGCTGGTCTCGAACTCCTGGGCTGAAGCAATCCGCTTACTTCGACCTCCCAAAATGCTGGGATTACAGATGTGAGCCACCACACCTGGCCAGAATTATTTTAAAAATCACTATCTTGTAACCACCAGAATTCTGGCAGGAATCACAAATGAATGCTAAAATCATTGGGTGAAACTCTGTTGAGGATATAGATTATGTACACCACCTCAAAGCTTATTAATTGCTTGTTGCTTATTAATTTCAAAGGGAAAGGAGTATTTTTACAGTGAACAAATATGTTAGACCCCATCTGAATCAAGTAATCAATGTTAGCATCACTAATAATGGCGGCCTGACCCCCCCTCCCCCACACCACTATGTGTCTGCCTCAGTTATATGGTATTCCGGCTAAAATTCACAAACTTATCACGAGGAACAATCAGACAAACTCGAAGGACATTCTGCAAATGACCCATAATCTTTAAAAATGTCAAGGTCATAAAAGACAATGAACACTTCAGGAAGTTTTCCAAATTATAGGAGACTAAGGAGAGAAGTCAAGCATGACATGGGCAAACCTAGATTAGCTCCGAGGTCAGAGGAAACATTCGCTGTGATTAACATTACTGGATTTTATTTTATTTTATTTATTTTTATTTATTTATTTATTTTGAGACGGAGTCTTGCTCTGTCTCCCAGGCTGGAGTGCAGTGGCGTGATCTCGGCTCACTACAACCTCCACCTCCCGGGTTCAAGCGATTCTCGTGCCTCAGCCTCCTGAGTAGCTGGGACTACAGGCACGCACCACCACACCTGGCTAACTTTTTGTATTTTTAGTAGACAGGGTTTCTTCATGTTGTCCAGGCTGGTCTCGAACTCCTGGACTCAAGTGATCTGCCTGCCTCAGCCTCCCAAAGTGCTGGGATTACAGGTGTGAGCCACTACGGCCAGTTTGGGATTTGAATATGGACTGTGTGTCAGTCTTCTAACCAAGGCTAAATTTCTTGAATTGGTTCTTTTTCTTTTTTTTTTTTTTTGGAGACGGAGTCTCGCTCTGTCACCCAGGCTGGAGTGCAGTGGTGTGATTTGGGCTCACTACAAGCTCCGCCTCCCGGGTTCACGCCATTCTCCTGCCTCAGCCTCCCGAGTAGCTGGGACTACAGGTGCCCAACACCACGCCCGGCTAATTTTTGTTGTATTTTTTAGTAAAGACAGGGTTTCACCGTGTTAGCCAGGATAGGCTTGATCTCCTGCTCTTGTGATCCGCCCGCCTCGGCCTCCCAAAGTGCTGGGATTACAGGCGTGAGCCACCGCGCCCGGCCGAATTGGTTCATTGTTTTATGGCTGTGTAAGAGAATGTCTTTTATCTTAGGAGATAGCAATGAATTATTTAGGGGTGAGGGGTTAAGATATCTGCAAGTTTCTCTCAAAAAGTTTAGTGAAATATACACACACATATGAATGTGTGTGTCTGTATGTATATGTCTATATATACATCTCTCTCTCTCAGAGAACATGACAAAACCTTAATTGGTAAATCCGAGGGTAGGATATATAAGTGGCTGCAATTTGTCTGTAAACTTGTAATTCTTCAAAATAGAGAGTTATCTTGTAGAGACACATTCTGCAGTTATTTATGAATGCCATGGTATTATGTTTAGGATTTTCTTCTCAATAATCTAAAGAGGAAGCAGTTGGTAGAGACAGGTGAGAAATAATGGACAAGTGGCGTGGTGAAAATTGTTGAAGCTGGGTGTGATGGGTACAGGCAGGGTTCCTGACACTCTTCTCCCTGCTTTCGCATGTTTTAAATTCCCTATGGCAATAAAAACATAGTAATGAGATGAAGGATTTTAATTCGTCATAGACATTCCATGACAGCGTATGGCTCAAAAAGCAGTCAGAGAGGACTCCACCCTTCCTGGCTGTAGGAAAGAGCTCTGGGTCTCCCAGCCTGGGAAGCCAGGGAGGCTGCAGTGGAGTTGAATGAAGGAGTCCCGCTCAGGCGAGGAGGGTGCAGGCTTGGCGGGAGGGGATGGCACAGGAGGGAGCAGCCAGGGATGAAGGAACCGCAAGGGTGAGGCCTGTTAGGAGGTTTAGGGTCTGCAGGAACATGTAATTTTGGAAAGACCCTCTCTAGGGGGAGATGAGAAACTCTGCTGTGATGTATTTTATAACTCTCTAGGGCTACAGCCTTTGCAGAAGCCCACATTAAAGGCCTAGGCTGCCCTGAAACGGCTTCCTGAAGTTGGATGTGTGTTTCCTTTGAAACTAACACCACTCTGGCCTAAGATGTCTGGGACTGCAGCTTGTATTCATGTGATTTCTTGCAGAAATCTGCTGGGGTGTTTAACCTACACAGCACCCGTCTACACATAGGCATAAAATTATCTTCTAGGCCTGAGAAAAGGCTGCACTTGCACCTTGATGACTTGCCTGGCCTTAGCACTCATAAAGAAGAGGAATGAGTTGATGAGACATGAGATTTGGGAAAGACTCCCCAGTTGAGGATTGGATGTTTCAGGAAGAGGCTGAGAACCAGACTTCATAAGCACCTGGAGAACTGGCAAAGTGGACATTGTTTTTAATCCAACATATATGGAGACTTGACTTTTTATTTTTATTTATTTTGAGACAGAGTCTTGCTCTGTCGCCCAGGCTAAAGTGCGCAGTGGTGTGATCTCAGCTCACTGCAACCTCCACCTCCCAGGTTCAAGCGGTTCTCGTGCCTCAGCCTCCTGAGTAGCTGGGATTACTGGCATGTGCCACCACGCCCGGCTAATTTTTTTTTTTTTTTTTTTTTTGAGACGGAGTTTCACTCTTGTTGCCCAGGCTGGAGTGCAATGGTGCGATCTCGGCTCACCGCAACATCCACCTCCCGGGTTCAAGCGATTCTCCTGCCTCAGCCTCCCGAGTAGCTGGGATTACAGGCATGCACCACCACGCCCGGCTAATTTTGTATTTTTAGTAGGGACGGGGTTTCTCCATATTGGTCAGGCTGGTCTCAAACTCTTGACCTCAGGTAATCCGCCTGCCTTGGCCTCCCAAAGTGCTGGGATTACAGGCATGAGCCACCATGCGCGGGCTTAATTTTTATATTTTTAGCAGAGATGAGGTTTCACCATGTTGGCCAGGCTGGTCTCAAACTCCTGACCTCAAGTGATCCTCCCACCTTGGCCTCCCAAAGTGCTGGGATTGCAGGCATGAGCCATCACGCCCAGCTAATTTTTGTATTTTTAGTAGAAACAGCGTTTTGCCATGTTAGCCAGGCTCGTCTTGGGCCAGGAACGTGGCGGGGGGAGGGGGGCGCCTGCCCAGAGGAGGCCCCAGTGCCTGAAGTGGGCATGAAGAGCCCAGCAGCATTAGAGGAACAAGGACTGACATGTTTCCCACAGTGGAAAGAAAGTTTTTGAAACAGAAAAATAGCACGGGCATTTGTGGGGTACATAAGAAAGAGACAAAATGGAACCATTTGGACCAGAAGGCATGACGGGAGAAGTGCGGGAGCGCAGGAGAGGTGTGAGCTAGTCTCATCCTGGGGTGGCCGGTCAATGCCAGACTGTGTCCAGGAGGCCACTGCGAGACTTTGAAAAGATGTTTCACATAGAAATTACTGTATGCAGGTGAGAAGCAGAGGTTGACCTAAACACTGCAGAGAATGTTGGATGGAAAGTTGGGACTTAAAATCTTGATTTGGCAAAATCACAGACTCAGCTGGAGAGGTGAGTGTTGGCCAGGACATGGGACCCACTTCCTCTAAGACGGACAGGAGCTCAGAGCCCCGGACTTCAGTTTTGTGGACGAGGAGGTCAGGTTGTTTGCTGAAGATGAGGGTGGACCGATAGGGTGGAGAAACAATGGGGTCTGTAAAAATGCTTGAGGCAGGTGCTTGGAGGAGGACGGACATTTGCCAGTGTCCACTTCATTGCCCACTCCCACCTGTGGGTGCTGGGGACTCAGCCTGCTCTTCCTCCTCTTCAGAGTTGTCACCTATTGTGTTCATGGAAGTCCTTCTCCAACCCCCATTTAAGACCAGCTAATCAGGGAGAGTCCCAATTCCCCATGAGCTTACTTTGTTTTGTTTGTTTGTTTGTTTGTTTTGAGACGGAGTTTCACTCTTGTCGCCCAGGCTGGAGTGCAGTGGCATGATCTCGGCTCACTGCAACCTCTGCTCCTGGGTTCAAGCGATTCTCCTTCCTCAGCCTCCTGAGTAGCTGGGATTACAGGCGCCTGCCACCATGCCTGGCTAATTTTTGTATTTTTGGTAGAGATGGGCGGGGGGTGTCTCACCATGTTGGCCAGTCTAGTCTTGAACTCCTAACCTCAGGTGATCCGCCCGCCTTGGCCTCCCAAGTGCTGGGATTACAGGCGCGAGCCACTGCACCCGGCCTGATCTTGCTTTTTAAGCGATTGCAATTCCACCTGGTGCTATGGTGATCTGGGGTTCCATGGCCTGTTTACCAGAAGAGCAATGCTTTTGTTGTGCTATATTGTTATTTCAGTTATTTTTTTATTTTTTATTTTTTGTCTTTTTTTGTTTGTTTGTTTTGTTTTGTTTTGTTTGAGACAGGGCCTCAGCCTGTCACCTAGACTGGAGTGCAGTGGTGTGATCATAGCTCCCTGCAGCCTCTAACTCCTGGGCTCAAGCGATCCTCCCACCTCAGCCTCCTAAGTACCTGGGATTATAGGCTCAAACTAGCATGTATGGCTCAGTACATTTTTTTAAAAATCTGCATTATGTATATCTTGAACTATACCTAGAGAAGTATACATTGGTTGAAATTTTGAGGTGAACAAATGTGCCACTGTTCAGAAACATTCTAATCACATTCTCCACTGTTCGAAATTCCCCAAGGTATCTATTTTTGCCTTAATTTATATTCCCTATGTTAAGAAGGTCATTTGAGCACATTTTCATGTTTGTTAGCTATTTCTATTTTTCCCTTGCCTGTTTAGATCTAGATTTATTACAAGAAGTCCATGATGGAGACAGCTCAGGAATGGAAGAGGTGAGAAATAATTCTGTCAAAGAATATGGGGGTGTTGTAGGGAACCGGAAGATGAGGGCAGAGAAGGGATTGAAGCTGCCTGATTGCGTGACCTTCCCAGGATCCCGATCCCTCACTGGTTCCAACACCAGATTCCATGTTCCTCCTCTCCCCTAAGTTTTTTCTCCGGAGTCAGATGCATTTCCCTAAAATAATTTATTTTAACCAGGATCTTCTTTTACGAATGTCCTATTTGCACAGACTCAAGCCCAAAGATCAGAAGAACCTCTGTCCTGGAAGTCGGTTCTCTTTCCAATGGAACAGCCTCTGCAAAGTGTACCACACGATGAGTTAATATATCTCACTTTTAGAAAGAAAGATACTGATATGCCACTGATGTGGTTTGGATGTGCGTCCCTCCACCCCCACCCACAGTCCCATGCTAGAAGTGTCACTCATATTCAGCTTTGAATCAGTGGGGAACCCATACAGGAAGATCATAATAAATATGGAAAATTCTGATAATTTTGTGATTCCATGAGATAAGAAAAGAACTTCCCTCTCCTGGAAATCTCACTCTGAGGGGAGCCAGCTGACATATCTTAGGCCTCCCTGCACCCCTGGGAGAGGCCCACATGGAGAGGAGCCCACAGCCAAGGAGGCCTTTTGGAACTGGGCCCTCCAGCCTCACTCCAGCTTTCAGATGATCACAGTCCAAGCTGACTTCTTTTTTTTTTTTTTTTTTTGAGACAGAGTCTCACTCTGTCACCCAGGCTGGAGTGCAGTGGCATGGTCTCGGCTCACTGCAGCTTCTGCCTCCTGGGTTCAAGAGATTCTCCTGCCTTGGCCTCCCAAGTAGCTGGGATTACAGGCACACACCACCACCCCTGGCTGATTTTTGTAATTTTAGCAGAGACAGGGTTTCGTCATGTTGCCCAGGTTGGTCTTGAACTCCTGACCTCAGGTGATCTGCCTACCTCGGCCTTCCAAAGTGCTGGGATTACAGGCATGAGCCACCGCACCTGGCCTCACAAGTCCTTTCTGAAACCACAGATGGGCACTTTGCCTGCTGTGTGTTATTCTGGGACTTCAGCAGCCTCCCTCCTCCTGTCACCTCCATCCATCTGTGGGATGCACATGGAGCCTCTTCACAGGACAGCAAGCATTTGAACATAGCAGGAGGATGACCTGGGGCCAGGGTTTTTTGTTGTGTTTCATTTTGTCTTTTCGAGACAGGGCCTCACTCTGTCACCCAGGCGGGAGTGCAGTGGTGCGATCATGGCTCACGGCAGCCTCAACCTCCTGGGCCCAGATGATCCTCCCACCTCATCCTTTTGAGTAGCTGGGACCACAGGCATGTGCCACCACATAGGGCCAGTTTTCAGCCTCCATTCTGAGTGGTTATGATTTCTGTTGAATTCTTTTTCCAAGAGGTGATTGGGTGAGCTAAGACTGACATTATAAAGTATTTTTAAAACAAGGTTGTGAAGGAAGCAGTGAGCGGCGAGGGTGATGGAGTGGAGGGAAGGTGCAGGGGGGCCCAGGTCAGGAGGGCCCGGGTCGGGAGGGCCCGGGGAGTGCAGCGGCATTTCCGGGGTAATTGTGTCTACTTCGCAGCTTTCTTGGTGGTGTCCACGTAAGCTCCACAACATCAGAGCCGCTGCTTTATCCCCAGCACCTGATACAGGCACCATTGAAGCTCACTGCAGCCTCAGCGGGATGGGTGCCTTACAGCCCTACAGGGCTGCAGAAAATACGGAAGAACATGAATAGCATGATTCAAAAAGAAAAAGCGGTCTTACTGGTGCATAACAAAGGGAATTAGGAAGAAATGAACCAAAGACACCTTGAATTTTGAGGTCAGACTTGTCTGTTTCTTTAGAATTCGTGGTAAAGTACTGAACATTGGCTGCATAAATTATTTACATACTTGTCACGGTGTAGCCGAGGACTAAAACTTCAACATTCACCTGCTACCAACCTCCGAACAGTGGCTGTGTTTGTATCAAGTTACCTGAATGGTAGGTGGGGAAGTCCAAATATTCCTAGTAAGACAATTGCATTCAAGGCCTGGCTGGTGAAACCTGTTTCCTGGGAAGGTAGTTAGTTGGTTTTCACCACAGGGAGAACCTGGACATCATTCAACATCATCAGCCTGGGATATGGCTCCCAGAAGAGGTTGGAGGGGGGATCTTGGAGCTGGCAGATTTGGGTTTGCATGTCAACCCCCAGCTCGCCCCTGCCCTGTCACCCCCAAGTCTCTGCTTCCCCATCTGCATGGGGACTGACCTCGCGTTGCAATGCTGCTGTAGGTATGAAGAAACAGCATAGCCTATGTGCCTGCCACTCAGCCAGCGCTGGGGAAACAGCACTCCTTTCCTGCCAGCGCCAGTGCCAGGGCAAACTCCAGCTGTGGGCATCTGCTGTCAGCCCCACGCGTGTCTGGGCGTTGCCCCCGCCCTGCCTTGGTGTCTGCCCGTGACTCACTTTTCCTGCTGCCTTCAGCTTTGAGTTCCTGTTTCCCATCTTGAAGTCCTGGCCCTAAGTTCTAGTTTCTGTTTCTGGTGTTCTTTGATTTCTAATTAAATCCAGTCCCTAAATGGTTGGCTCAAGTCGGCGTCTAAAGGCGATTCTCTGACACTGTGAATCTCAGGAGTGCATTACAGTCCAAGTCGTACTTAGAATTAGTGGCCAGTAAATTGCTGATAGTCTTTAACAAATGTTAGCAATTTGGAATTCAAGAAGTGCTTGTTGATACTTGTGTTTATGGATTTTAAAATGTTTCCAATTTTTTACGTATTACAAAAAATATAAGCATAGATTGTAACCACGTTTATAATTCATATTTTATAAATGTATTTTTAAAAATAAAGACATTTTTAAGGCTGGGCATGGTGGCTCACCCCTGTAATCTCAGCACTTTGGGAGGTCAAGGCAGGTGGATCACTTGAGGTCAGGAGTTCGAGACCAGCCTGGCCAACATGGTGAAACCTCGTCTCTACTAAAAATACAAAAATTAGCTGGGCATTATGATAGGCACCTGTAATCCCAGCTATTCAGGAGGCTGAGGCATGAGAATCACTTGAACCCAGAAGGCAGAGGTTGCAGTGAACGGAGATCACACCACTGCCCTCCAGCCTGGGTGACAGAGTGAGACTCTGTCTCAAAAAAAAAAAAAAAGACATGGTCCAGGCATGGTGGCTCACACCTGTAATCCCAGCACTTTGGGAGGCCAAGGCGGGTGGATCACAAGGTCAGGAGATCGAGACCATCCTGGCTAATATGGTGAAACCCCGTCTCTACTAAAAATACAAAAAAAATTAGCCGGGCATGGTGGCGGGCGCCTGTAGTCCCAGCTACTCGGGAGGCTGGGGCAGGAGAATGGGGTGAACCCGGGAGGCGGAGCTTGCAGTGAGCCAGGATCACGCCACTGCACTCCAGCCTGGGCAACAGAGCGAGACTCCGTCTCAGAAAAAAAAAAAAAAGACATTTTAGCATTACTATGTGTTAGGAACTGAATGTATGTGTCCCTCCACAAATTCATGTTGATGCCTTAACCCCCACCATGGCTCTCTTTCAAATAAGGAAGTATTTATAGTTAGTTAAGTTCGTAAGGGTGGGGCCCTGATCCAATGAGGTTGTGTCCTTATAAGAAGAGACAGCAGAGCCCTCTGTCATGGGAAGACACTGCGAGAAGCTGCCATCTGCCTGCCAGGGAGAGGCCCTCAGCAGGAACAGCCTTGATGGCCCCCTGGTCTCAGACTCCAGAGCTGCAAGAATGTAAGCCCAGCCTGTGGTGTTTTGTTACGGCCAGCGGAGTAGACTTGTACCCCATGCAGCGGTGTGTCTATGAGCCTTCTTTACATCTTGAATTGAAGTCAACTTACAGCCAGGAAAAACTCAATTACAACAGGATAAATCCCGGAAAAAAGGTCTCTCTATGGATATCATTTGCTGCCACTTCTTCACATTTATCGTTTTTTGGTTGATACCACATCACAGAATACTGAAAATCCACTAGCAAACATAAAAATGACCTTTTAAACATTTTGCATTCTGTCTGAAAATTTCTGGGGAGGCCTTTACACCCCTTTCCTTCTGTGGGAAACTTTCTAGGAGCTGAAGTTTCTATGCCAATTACATCAGCTGCCTCTAAAGCGAAAATACAAAGATTCTTAAATTGTCTGATTAGGGATAATTGTGATTTTTAAAGTGACATTTATCCAAAAGGATGTAGAAAGGTAAGCAAGTTACTTTCCTGATTCACTTTTAGGTTGGTTAGAGTGGCAGTTTCTGTTTCTCCAGTTATGAAAGAATCTCATAGGGTTAGGGAATAGGCCTTTCCTTTAAACTTTGTCTTGTAATTCAGTGTGGTAACATGACCGGGGTTGGGGGACCCCTCTCTCTCTCTAAATTTTGGCAAGTTATTTAACCTCCTTGGGGCTTGTTCCTTCCATTTGTTGAATGAAATACTGAACTAGAAACTATTCTGTGACTGAACAGAGCAGTTATATCAATTTTTTTTATCTTACAAGTTCACCTCCCTCCTCTTCCTTGCCACCCTCCCTCTTTGTGGAAAACATTCAGTGATGAGAACTTAAGTCAAAGGTGCCTGGCCATGAGAACTTCCATACTTTTGACTCTGAAACACCATTTTTTTTTCCTTTTGAGACAGAGTCTTGCTCTGTTGCTCAGGCTGGAATTCAGTGGCGCAATTTTGGCTCGTTGCAACCTCCACCTCCTGGGTTCAAGCGATTTCTCATGCCTTAACCTCCCGAGTAGCTGGGATTACAGGTGCATGCCACCACATCAGGCTAATTTTTATATTTTTAGTAGAGACAAGTTTTCACCATGTTGATCATGCTGGTCTTGAGCTACTGACCTCAGTTGATCCACCCACCTCAGTCTCCCAAAGTGCTGGGATTACAGGCGTGAGCCACTATGCCCAGCCGGAAGCACTTTTATCTGCCAGTCTCCAGAAGTAAACCTATTTCAGACTGACAAGGAAGCAAGGCAGCGTTTCATCATCTGCGTGTCTTGCCGGTTCTTGCCAACAAACAAACAGAGTTCTGTTCTGCTTCTTTCAGGCATGGAAGATATAAGGCACAGTTCCATTCAGCAAGACAAACGGCAAATATGCTGTGGCTCTCGGGGGCAGGATGGCCATTGAGTGACCCACATATTCTGAGGCCATCACAACCCCGTCCCAGGCAGTCAGAACACACCACGCAGTCCCAGAAAGGACGAAAGAAGTGACAGCCTGCTACGACAGAACAAAATGTTCTGTGGCCCTGGAAGGAGGAGGCTGAGGAGTCTCCGATTTTCTTGATTGACTGAGGAATACTGGTTTCTTCTTTAAATGTAAAAACTCCCAAATCATGACCTTAATGAAATGAGTTTTTTGTTTTGTTTTGTTTTTTGAGACAGAGTTTCACTTTTGTTGCCCAGGCTGGAGTGCAAGGGCGCAATCTCGGCTCACCGCAACCTCCGCCTCCCAGGTTCAAGCAATTCTCCTGCCTCAGCCTCCCAAGTAGCTGGGATTACAGGGATGCGCCACCACGCCCGGCTCATGTTTTTGTATTTTAGTAGAGACAGGGTTTCTCCATGTTGGTCAGGCTGGTCTCGAACTTCTGACCTCAGGTGATCTGCCCACCTCGGCCTCCAAAAGTGCTGGGATTACAGGCATGAGCCACTGCACCCGGCCAATGAAATGTTTTTTAAATTAACAAATCAAACAAAAGTGGCTGAAAACTTACCACGCTGAAACTGCTGGCAGTGTGATAGTGGACCTGAGACCTGAGGAGGGCAGCACGGGAGACCCCCAAGAGTGAGGTCCTCCTGCCTGGAGCTGCGCCGACTGCCCACCGCCCACCACCCACCACCGAGATTCCTGCGCTGCTCCCTGCTGATGGGGCCCAAGGCATGCATTCATTCAGCTCACACACGGTCAAAGACCAAGCTCCAAATACAAAGCCACGCTGCCTGGTTTTTAAAATTAAACTGTTAATTTTGAGATAATTGTAGCTTCATATGCATTTGTAAGGAATAATACAGAGAGGTCTTGTGTATTGTATCTGGAGTACAGTGACCTGATCTCGGCTCCCTGCAACCTCCGCCTCAAAGGTTCAAGCGATTCTCCTGCCTTAGCCTCCCAAGTAGCTGGGATTACAGGTGCCCACCACCACAACTGACTAATTTTTGGCATTTTTAGTAGAGACAGGGTTTCTCCATGTTGGTCAGGCAGGTCTCGAACTCCTGACCTTAGGTGATCCACCCACCTGGGCCTCCCAAGTGCCGGGATTACAGGCGTGAGCCCCCGCGCCCGGCCTCAGTGGTCGCGTCTTGCACAACTGGGGGACAATATCAGGATCCTGACTTGTGGCCCAGGCACAGACGTCCACCCCCACAGGACCTTCTGCTCCCTTTAAAGCCACAGAACTTCCCTCCCATCCCTGCCTCCTTCTCAGCCCTGGTAAGGCCTCCATTGCTGTACTTGGATCATTTCAAGAATGTTCTATAAATGGAATCTCATGGTGTACCACCTTTTGGTCTGGACTCCCTTCACCAGGGCCACTCTGAAGGTTTGTTCAGGCCGTGGTGTGTGTGCCCATAGCTCGTTCCTTTTCACTGCAGAGTATACTCCATAGTGTGGGTTATGTCGTCTGCTTAACCACACACCGGTTCAAGGCCATCTCGGTAGCTTCCAGTTTTTGACCATGATGAATAAAGCTACTACGAACAGCTGTGTACCAGTTGTCATGTGAACGTCAGTCTTCGTTTTCTCCGGGATGAACACCCTGGCCCGAAGTTGCCAGGTCCGACAGTGGTTGCATGTTTAGTTTGTTAAGAAACTGCCAACCCGTTTTCCAGGTGGCTGTACCATCTTACATCCCACCAGCCCCGAGTGAGTGAATGATCTCCAACCCATTTCCCAGGCGGCTCTACCATCTAACATCCCACCAGCCCCACGTGAGTGAGTGATCTCCAACCCGTTTTCCAGGCAGCTGTACCATCTTACATCCCACCAGCCCCGCGTGAGTGAGTGATCTCCAACCCGTTTTCCAGGCAGCTGTACCATCTTACATCCCACCAGCCCCGCGTGAGTGAGTGATCTCCAACCCGTTTTCCAGGCGGCTGTACCATCTTACATCCCACCAGCCCCGTGTGAGTGAGTGATCTCCAAGTTGTTTTCCAGGTGGCTGTACCATCTTACATCCCACCAGTCCCACATGAGTGATCTCCAACCTGTTTTCCAGGCAGCTGTACCATCTTACATCCCACGAGCCCCAGGTGAGTGACCTCCAACCCGTTTTCCAGGCAGCTGTACCATCTTACATCCCACCAGCCCCGGGTGAGTGATCTGCTCTCCCCGTCCTCACCCACGTGCCGCTGCATCACTCTGTTATTTTCAGCCATGTGGATAGATGTGCAGGGCTGTCTTGTTGTTGTTTTAATTTGCATTTCCCTAAGGGCCCACTATGTTCGGTGTCATTCTCTCGGACATCTCTTCTTGTGCTTATTTGCCATTCGTATCCTCTTTGGTGAAATGTTTTTTCCTGTCTTTTGCTGATTTTTCTAACTGGACTGCACTTTTTTTTTCTTTTTTTGACACAGGGTTTCACTGTATTGTCGAGGCTGCAGTGCAGTGGTGCGATAACAGCTCTCTGCAGCCTCAGCCTTCCAGGTAGCTGGGACTACAGGTGCGTGCCACCACGCCCAGCTAATGTTTGTTTTTTCTGTATAGTTGAGGTTTTGCCATGTTGCCCACGCTGGTCTTGACCTCCTGGGCTCAAGCAATCCACCCTCCTTGGCCTTCCACAGTGCTTGGATTACAGGCGTGAGCCACTGTGCCTGGCCTTAGCTTTTTTTTTTAACCGTTGAGTTTTGAGAGTTCTTTGTATATTTGAGGCACTAATCTGTGTTGGATATGTAGTCTGAATATATTCAGAATATTTTCTCTCAGTTTGTAGCTTGTCTTTTCATCTTCTTAACATAGCCTTTTGCGGAGCAAAAGTTTTTATTTTTTGTGAAGTCCAATTTTTCTATTTTTCCTTTTATATATTGTGATGCTGGTAAGCAATCTTATATATTATCATGCTGGTAAGAAATCATTTCTTAGTCTTCAATCCCAAAGATTTTCTCTGTTTATTTTCTAAAAGGTTGATAGTTTTGCATTTTACATTTAAGTCTGTGATCCATTTTGAAATCAGGTAGATTGAGTCCATCACTTTATTCCTTTTCAAAATTGCTTTAGCTACTCTCATTCCTTTGTCTGTACATAGAGATTTTAGAAAAATCTTCTCTATGTCTGCATGACATTTGCTGGCATTTCAATAGGAATTGCATTAAATCTATATATCATTTTGGGAAAAATGATATTTTTGCTATAATGAGTCTTCCAATCGATGAACACCCTGCGTCTCTCTCTTTATTTAGGCTTTCTTTGATTTCTTTCACTGGCATTTTGTAGTTTTCAGCATATAGATCCTGTACATGTCTTAGATTTATACCTAAGTATTTTTTTGAGTGACTGTAAATAATATTGTATTATTCATTTTGGTATCTTTGTATTCATTACTAGTATATGGAAATATTATTGAATTTTGTATGTTTGTCATGTATCCTGTGATCCTGATGAACTCACTTGTTAGTTGTAGGAGGGTTTTTTTTTTTGAGATTCCTTGGGATTTTCTCTGTGGACAATCATGTCATCTGCAAATAGGGGACAGCTTCTTTCCGTCCTTCCCGCCTGCCTGTCTGCCTTCCTTCTCTCTCAGTCTCTCTCTCCCTTCCTTCTCTCTCTCTCTCAGTCTCTCTCTCTTTCTTCTTTTCCCTTTATTTTCTGTTTTTGCCTTATTGCAATAGCTAGGACTGCTAGCACCATGTTGAATACAGTGGTGATAACAGGCATCCTTGCCTTGTTCCTGATCTTAGGCTGGGAGCTTCAGTCTTTTCCATTAAGTATCCTGTTAGCTGCAGGTGTTTTATAGATGTTCTTTATTAAGTTGAGGAAGCTTCCCTTTATTTCTATTTTTTAACAGTTTTTTAGGCCGGGTGCCGTGGCTCATGCCTGTAATCCCAGCACTTTGGGAGGCTGAGGCAGGTGGATCACCTGAGGTCAGGAGTTCGAGACCAGCCTGGCCAATATGGTGAAACCCCGTCTCTACTAAAATACAAAACTTAGCTGGGCATGGTGGTGGGTGCCTGTAATCCCAACTCGAGAGGCTGAGGCAACTAGAACCGCTTGAACCCATGAGGTAGAGGTTGCAATGAGCCGAGATCGCGCCACTGCACTCCAGCCTGGGTGACAGAGCCAGACTCTGTCTAAAAAAAAAAAGTCCACTCTGCAGAGATGGCTGAATTAAAAACAATGTCCACTTTGCCAGGAACTTCAAACAGGAGACCAAGTGGTGACTTCAGGGACATCCAGGGTGATGTTGCATCCCAGGACGAGAAGAGGCTGCCACTAGGAGCCACAGATAGAGCTCCAGGGAGTTTAACATACAACCTTTAAGAGGAAGAAATTGCACCAGCCCAGAATCAACTGCATAACAGACAACCTTTAAAACGAAGAAATCACACCAGCCCAGAACCAACTGCATAACATACAACCTTTAAAAGGAAGAAATCGCAGCAGCCCAGAACCAACTGCATAACATACAACCTTTAAAAGGAAGAAATCGCAGCAGCCCAGAACCAACTGCATAACATACAACCTTTAAAAGGAAGAAATCGCAGCAGCCCAGAACCAACTGCATAACATACAACCTTTAAAAGGAAGAAATCGCACCAGCCCAGAATCAACTGCATAACATACAAACTTTAAAAGGAAGAAATCGGCCTGGTGCAGTGGCTCACGCCTATAATCCCAGCACTTTGGGAGGCCAAAGTGGGTGGATCACAAGGTCAGGAGATCAAGACCATCCTGGCTAACACGGTGAAACCCCATCTGTACTAAAAATAAAAAAAAAATTAGCCGGGCTTGGTGGCGGGCACCTGTAGTCCCAGCTACTTGGGAGGCTGAGGCAGGAAAATGGCATGAACCTGGGAGGTGGAGCTTGCAGTGAGCTGAGATCAAGATGCTGCACTCCAGCCTGGGTGACAGAGCGAGACTCCATCTCAAAAAAAAAAAAAAAAAAAAAAAAGGAAGAAATCGCAGCAGTCCAGAACCAACTGCATAACAGACAACCTTTAAAAGGAAGAAATCGCACCAGCCCAGACCCAACTGCATAACAGACAACCTTTAAAAGGAAGAAATCGCACCAGCCCACAACCAACTGCATAACAGACAACCTTTAAAAGGAAGAAATCGCACCAGCCCAGAACCAACTGCATAAAAGACAACCTTTAAAAGGAAGAAATCGCACCAGCCCAGAACCAACTGCATAACAGACAACCTTTAAAAGGAAGAAATCGCACCAGCCCAGAACCAACTGCATAACAGACAACCTTTAAAAGGAAGAAATCGCACCAGCCCAGAACCAACTGCATAACAGACAACCTTTAAAAGGAAGAAATCGCACCAGCCCACAACCAACTGCATAACAGACAACCTTTAAAAGGAAGAAATCGCACCAGCCCAGAACCAACTGCATAACAGACAACCTTTAAAAGGAAGAAATCGCACCAGCCCAGAACCAACTGCATAACAGACAACCTTTAAAAGGAAGAAATCGCACCAGCCCAGAACCAACTGCATAACAGACAACCTTTAAAAGGAAGAAATCGCACCAGCCCAGAACCAACTGCATAACAGACAACCTTTAAAAGGAAGAAATCGCACCAGCCCAGAACCAACTGCATAACAGACAACCTTTAAAAGGAAGAAATCGCACCAGCCCAGAACCAACTGCATAACAGACAACCTTTAAAAGGAAGAAATCGCACCAGCCCACAACCAACTGCATAACAGACAACCTTTAAAAGGAAGAAATCGCACCAGCCCACAACCAACTGCATAACAGACAACCTTTAAAAGGAAGAAATCGCACCAGCCCACAACCAACTGCATAACAGACAACCTTTAAAAGGAAGAAATCGCACCAGCCCAGAACCAACTGCATAACAGACAACCTTTAAAAGGAAGAAATCGCACCAGCCCAGAACCAACTGCATAACAGACAACCTTTAAAAGGAAGAAATCGCACCAGCCCAGAACCAACTGCATAACAGACAACCTTTAAAAGGAAGAAATCGCACCAGCCCAGAACCAACTGCATAACAGACAACCTTTAAAAGGAAGAAATCGCACCAGCCCAGAACCAACTGCATAACAGACAACCTTTAAAAGGAAGAAATCGCACCAGTCCAGAACCAACTGCATAACAGACAACCTTTAAAAGGAAGAAATCGCACCAGTCCAGAACCAACTGCATAACAGGCAACCTTTAAAAGGAAGAAATCGCACCAGCCCAGAACCAACTGCATAACAGACAACCTTTAAAAGGAAGAAATTGCAGCAGCCCAGAACCAAGTGCATAACAGAATGGGCCCCAGTGTGTAATTGGCAGGATTTGCTGGAAGATGTCTCCTAGGATGCGCTAGAAGCATGAAGAGACGCCGGTTGTAAGGCTTCTGCCTCAGGATGTGTAGGCTAGGCAGTCCAGCCCTCTGGAGACCACTGAAGAGGCAGCATTCAAAGTCTTCTGGAAAACATCAGAGGACTAACAGGACATGAAGAATCCCTGAGCAAGCTCCAAGGAAAGACGGGAGCTCGCTTCAGCCTGGAGGCGTTTGCTGATTCGGAGCAAGGGGAAGGCAAGGTGCAAGGCGGAGGCCAGGCCTGCCAGGCAGAGCCACATGGGTTTATCCTGGAGTCCTGTCTGTGTGTGACATTGGCCGGGAGGGCTGCACCCTTGCTCACACCAGCAGCTGGGCAGCCTAGGAAGTCCGAGGCACGCAGGCTGGATCTCCGTGGCCTTGGGAACATGCTCATTAGTTTTTGCGCCATCTGCTGCACTTTGAGCTGCAAAGTCGAGACCACCTACAGCTTCAGCCAAAGGCCTGTCTTTTATGGTGGCCTGTGTCCACCAGCCCGTCTTTTATGGTGGCCTGTGTCCACCAGCCCGTCTTTTATGGTAGCCTGTGTCCACCAGCCCGGCTGGGGAAGGGCTCCTGCTCCAGGCCTCCTACATGTGGACGCGGACGAAAAGGGGGCTCTAAACAACCAGTAGGAAAGAAGTGTGTGATAAGGACATCTGCGGCAGTGGTGAATGTGATGGAAAGACGGGGGTGTGAGGCAGAGCCAGGGAGGGTAGCTGGGCTCATTCAGACCGGTGGCTCAGAGAAGAGGTGCGAAAAGTTGGGCCCCGTGGAATGGGAGTCGGGACATGGCCTTGGCTGCCTGAGGTCGGGAGGAGGACACAGCTGCTGCGTGGAGTCACGGGACCGAGAGGCCACAGAACCTAAATGGGACCCGTGGGTCTGGGGGTGCGGCCGTGAGTGGCAGCGGAGTCCTTCAGGGTACCGGCCGGGCGCATTCGCTCACTGCTGGTGCGACACATGCATGGCAGATGTCTCCTCCCCGCACTTCCCAGGACAGCTCCCATCCACGCTTCCCCAGGACAGCTCCCATCCACGCTTCCCCAGGACAGCTCCCATCCACGCTTCCCCAGGACAGCTCCCATCCACGCTTCCCCAGGACAGCTCCCATCCACGCTTCCCCAGGACAGCTCCCATCCACGCTTCCCCAGGACAGCTCCCATCCACGCTTCCCCAGGACAGCTCCCATCCACCCTTCCCCAGGACAGCTCCCATCCACGCTTCCCCAGGACAGCTCCCATCCACGCTTCCCCAGGACAGCTCCCATCCACGCTTCCCCAGGACAGCTCCCATCCACGCTTCCCCAGGACAGCTCCCATCCACCCTTCCCCAGGACAGCTCCCATCCACGCTTCCCCAGGACAGCTCCCATCCCACAGCCACACTCTCGGGCAGCTCTGACACTCCTCCCAACAGTAGGCTCACATTCCCTCCCTCTTCACCCCAGGGGGCTTCTGAGGTGGTGGAGGTAACACCCCGACTTCTGAACTGAGGGCCCCACCCCTGCCTCACTTCAGTCTGCCCCTGCCCCCTCGACCCAGCCAGGACTGCAGCCCGTGGGGGGCCCACACCACAGGCGCCAGGCAGGCTATGGGGTGGCAGCTTAGGCAGGTGCCTGAGTACACTGCCAGGTCGTTCTTCCTTGTCCCTAGTCCCCAAGGGATTAGAAGGGTTTCTGGCACTTCTGTGCTTCCTGAGATGACTCCCTGTTCTGTGGTTTTGGTGCCAGTAATTGATAAACCTCCAAAATGCTGCTGATTGGAGCATGTCCTCGCTCCTAACACTCAGACCTTCAACTCGGGCCTTTGCCTCTTCAATAAGACCCTCCACGGCCCCTCCACACGTGTCTCCACCTGTTGCCCAGGACGGGGAGTTTACGTTTGCTAACACCATGGTTATTAAAGAGCTTTTCCGGGCTGCCTGACTTCAAAATCTGGAGAGCTTAGTGTTCTTTCTGCTTTAAGTTGAGTTGTAGCAGGAAATAAACAAAGTAAGGACTGCCCTATTCACTGGAATAACTTGAAACTGCACTGTTAATTAAAAAAAAAAGAACTCTAATCCTTTGAAAATCCTGGCAGAAAGGAAACTGTGTGAGGCCATTTGGAAACCTGGCCTTGAGTTCCTCCTCTCACTCCCACCTGAGGCGACTGTTTCCCCTCTCACGCCCGCCTGAGGCCACTGTTCCCCACTGGCTGAGCGTCCTTCCCTCCCACCCTGGCCCCTGCAGTTTGAGGCTCCCACTTCCTGCCCCAGTGCCTGCCAGGTGCCCCACAGAGGTGGGGACACAGGATCTGCAGGACAGGAGGCTCCTGCCAGGTTTCCGGCTAATCCACCAAATGGGCACCTTCTTTGCACAGCGGCTCTGGGAGCTGACTCAGATGGCAATGACTCCACGAACCCTGACAGATTCCATCAAATTATACCCAAGCCAACCCCTACAGCTGAGCGTGACGGCAGCTTGGAGCTGGACGGACACCACAAACTACACAGTTACGTTATGGGAGTACGTATGAGCCCCTGACTATGGGCCCAGGAGTACACCTGCGTCTAAGGGGTTCAAGCAGTGTTGTCTCACTCAGAAATTCTTTTTTTTTTTCTTTTTTTTGAGACAGAGTCTCACTGTGTCCCCCAGGCTGGAGTGCAGTGGCGCGATCTCGGCTCACTGCAAGGTCTGCCTCCCGGGTTCACGCCATTCTCCTGCCTCAGCCTCCCTAGTAGCTGGGACTACAGGCGCCCGCCACCACGCCCAGCTAATTTTTTGTATTTTTAGTAGAGATGGAGTTTCACCGTGTTAGCCAGGATGGTCTCGATCTCCTGACCTCGTGATCCGCCCGCCTCGGTATCCTCGGTATCCCAAAGTGCTGGGATTACAGCCACTGTGCCCGGCCCAAAAATTCTTTAATTTAGGATTCCAATCAGCCTAAAAGACAAGCACTAAGCAGTTTCCGACTGGACTGCTCCCTGGAGGGTGGGCTGTGGGCTACAGGATCCAGGGCTCCCACACCTGTTGCTAGAGCCATGGCCTGTAGCCGAGAGGAAAGTCCCTCCAGGCCCAAGGTATGTGGCTTGGAGCTAGGCCTGGGGGGTCAGGAGAAGGGTAAAGACACTGCAGGAGCTCTTAATTTGGGCCAGGAAGGTGACGCATGAGATAGGATGTAGGCAGACACTGAAGAAGAGCTTGACATCTCCAAGGCCTCGTCTGGAGCCTGAGACGCGGTGAACAGTTTGCTCCTTTACATCCTGTCATTCTGTGATGGGAATGAACTCCAAATGGGAAAACAGCAAAGCCTCAAATCCCAAACCAGCAGCCCTGCTCACTGTTCAGAAGCACTTTTGTGATGGGAGAGTGCAAGCTCTTCCTTCCGGGGAATCTGGTCCTTCTCCTGAACCCTCTTATTTTTTTACTTTTATTTTTATTTTTGAAACAAGGTCTTTGCTGTGTCACCCAGGCTGGAGTGCAGTGGCACAATCTCAGCTCACTGCAACCTGCACCTCTGGGGTTCAAGCGATTATCCTGCCTCAGCCTCCCGAGTAGCTGGGATTACAGACGTGTGCCATCACACTCGGCTGATTTTTGTTTTGTTTTTAGTAGAGACAGGGTTTCACTATGTTGGTCAGGCTGGTCTCAAACTCCTGACCTCAAGTGATCCACCCACCTCGGCCTCCCAAAGTGCTGGGATTACAGGGGTAAGCCACCATATCCAGCCTGTAGTTCATTACTCTATTGGCAATTTTGGGATTGATGATGAATGTTTTTAGATACTTATATGAATTGCTTATTTGTCGATTTTGGAGCTGGTGTTCTTATTTTATTGTTAGACTTTGTATACCAAAAATATAAATGCTTTTTAATATGTGATGGGATTATTTTTTGGGTTATATGTATCCTTAATTGTGTTCTTATGACACTCAAATATAATAAAAATTTTATAAGGTTAAATCTAAGCTTTGCGGGGTATGATTTTGGCCTTTTGAATCACGCTTAGAGATTTTATAAAATATTCTTGCCTGTAATCTTACCCTTTTCAATTCATTTTCTTTCTTTTTTTTTTTTTTTTTTCTGGGTCTGGCTCTATTGCCCAGGCTGGAGTGCAGTGGTGTGGTCTTGGTTCACTGCAACCTCTGCCTCCCTGGTTCAAGCCCTCCTCCCTCCTCAGCCTCCTCAGTAGCTGGGACCACAAGTGTGCACCACCACGCCTGGCTGATTTTTGCGTTGTTTGTAGAGATGGGGTTTCGCCATGTTGCCCAGACTGGTCTCAAACTCCTGGGCTCAAACAGTCCATCTGCCTCAGCCTCCCAGAGTGCTGGGATTACAGGCGTGAGCCACGATGCCTGGCCTCCGATTGATTTCCTCCGCGTAACTGTGGTATGTTCCTAAAGTGCCCACTGGGTTGTCACTTGGATTTGCTCAACATCCACCCGGTGCTCCCCGCAGCCCTTGGGCTGAAGGGTCCCTGAGAGCTGACCTGTCTTGCTGGTCAGCTGCTCCCTGGCTTAGCTGGGTGCTTGCAAACCTGCCTCTTCTGGGACCTGACTATCTGACCACTGTCAGGCCCAGGGACACCGGCTGCACCTGGGCGCAGACACCCCGTGAAAGCACCTTGTTCCTCACGCTCAGTGCCTTGGCACGCACCACTACCTCTCCTGATGTTCTTCTCCTTTCTTCAAGGGACCTTTGAAATGTTTAAGCATCCTGCAGCCTAAGGCAGGTCCCTTTCTCTTGATGGCTGCCAAGAAAAGCACCTGTGTAGCCTTGCTGGGGATGTTGGTGCAGGTGTTATCCACCCACCAGGGAAGGCAGGGGCCTCTGCACACCCCACACCTCTGATTTATATCTTCCCCTAAAATTATGTCATAAACATCCTTCTTTGTTAGCACAAAAGTACCTGCCTCAGGTCTTCATAGCTCCACAGTCACCTGAAGGGACGGGTGAATCCGTTTAGCCGCTTTCTCTGCTGACCTCATCCAAGTCTCACCACCCAGTGTTTCTCCTGTAAATGGTACAGCTTCGCGTAGACACACTGACAACGTTCATGGGGGTCCACGTGGAGTCACAGGCCTGCTGCCCACATCACCCACTATGCCAGCTTGGACTTAAAGTACTTATCAGAGACTTCAGGTTGAACATGAAACATTAATTCTGAAAGAACAGAAAGAAACAAAACGCATTAGACCAGAAGGACAAAGAGCCCAGGAGGAGCAACTTCAGCCAGGATGGAGTGGCATTTGGAAGAGTGGAGTCTCTGGGCAGAGGAAGGACGCTCCGCCTGAGGTCCCCACAGGCAACGGCCCTGGGCTGGTGGTTGCCGAGTCCCTGGAGATGGCAGGGCAGGGCAGGTGGACTAGGTGTGGTTGACAGTGGGTGCTGGCTGAGTTTGGATATAGAGTTTGTGGTCCCAGGACACCTTCAGAGAAGTTTGGAAAATTTATTCCTGAAAATGTGAGATGTACTGGGCTGCAGGGGTGTGGAAATATGCGTATTCTCCCCTAGTGATGCAACTGCTGGGAAGGGAAATTTGGCAGCATTTGTTGGTGAAAGGTGTAAAGCAGGCATTCCTGCTGGTTCAGCAATCCCACCTCCTCATCAATCCCACCTCCCCGTCAATCCCACCTCCTCATCAATCCCACCTCCTCATCAATCCACCTCCCCATCAATCCACCTCCCCGTCAATCCACCTCCCCATCAATCCACCTCCCCATCAATCCACCTCCCCGTCAACCACCTCCCCGTCAATCCACCTCCCCGTCAATCCACCTCCCCGTCAATCCACCTCCCCGTCAATCCCACCTCCCCGTCAATCCACCTCCCCGTCAATCCCACCTCCCCCCCGTCAATCCACCTCCCCGTCAATCCACCTCCCCGTCAATCCCACCTCCCCGTCAATCCACCTCCCCGTCAATCCACCTCCCCGTCAATCCACCTCCCCGTCAATCCCACCTCCCCGTCAATCCACCTCCCCGTCAATCCCACCTCCCCGTCAATCCACCTCCCCGTCAATCCACCTCCCCGTCATTCCCACCTCCTCGTCATTCCCACCTCCTCGTCATTCCCACCTCCTCGTCATTCCCACCTCCTCGTCATTCCCACCTCCTCGTCAATCCACCTCCTCGTCAATCCACCTCCTCGTCAATCCACCTCCTCCTCAATCCCACCTCCTCCTCAATCCCACCTCCTCGTCAATCCCACCTCCTCGTCAATCCCACCTCCTCGTGTCCCCTCATGAATCACCCACACATGGGCATTCTTCATTGTGAAATGTCTTGCAGTTGTTGGAAACAAGATTGTTCAACAATAGAAAGAATGAGCGATCAAGCCATGAAAAGGCATGGAGGAACCTTGAATGCATGTCACTAAGCGGAAGAAGCCAATCTGAAAAGGCCACATTCTCTACGAGTCCAACGACAGAACGTTTTGGAAAAGGCGGAACTGGGGATAATAAGATCAGTAATAAGATGAGTGATTGCCAGGGGTTGACAGAGGGGGAGGGATGAGAGGGGGAGCACAGAGGATTACTAGGCCAGTAAAATGATTCTGTAGGATACTGCAGTGGTGAATCCATGTCATCATACATTTGTCCAAACCCATAGGATGTACAACAGCAAGACTGACCCCCAGTGTAAACTGCGGACTAAGAACGGGAGGGAGGCGCTGGGTATGGTGGGAGGCGCTGGGTATGGTGGCTCACTCCTGTAATCCCAGCACTTTGGGAGGCCAAGGAGGGTGGATCATTTGAGGTCAGGAGTTTGAGACCAGCTTGTCCAACGTGGTGAAACCCCATCTCTACTAAAAATATAAAAAAAATTAGCTGGGTGTGGTAGCACACCTGTAATCTCAGCTACTCGGGAGGCTGAGGCAGGAGAATCACTTGAACCTGGGAGGTGGAGGTTGCAGTGAGCCAAGATCATGCCACTGCACTCCAGCCAGGGCAACAGAGTGAGACTCTGTCTCAAAAAAAAAAAAAAAAAAAAAAAAAAAAAAGAATGGAAGAGAGGGTCATTACCAAATGATTGATGAATTAATTATGTAATTAACACGGTTAATTTCAGGGACCCCTTAGAGCATTGAGGACTCCACTCTGGCATGTAAGGAGCTGGGATGTCATCATTTATATTCTCAGAACAAGAAAAAAGCACAACAATGTGAAAATCAACACCTTTTCTTTGGTCTGCCACAGAATCGAGGCATAGGGAAAAATCACTGCCCAAAGCCCCAGAGAGGCAGAACACAGAGGAGCACAGCAGGAGCGGAAGCCCCGTGTGGATCCAGCACCAGTAGGAACGCCAAACTGCCACTGATGCCTGCTGGAGTGTGGGAAGACAAAACCACCTACCTAAGTTCTGTGTCCAGTGAAATTACCTGAGGGGATTTGTTGTCAGTAGATCTGCCTTGCAAGAAATGTTAAAAGAAGTTCTTCAGAGAAGGAAAATGACGTAGGTCAGAAACTCATATTTCTTCTTGGCTCGTTGATGGCTGTTGTCTTAGTCCATTCGTGTTGCTATAAAGGCACACCTGAGGCTGGGTAATTCATAAAGAAAGGAGGTTTATTTGGCTCACGGTTCTGCGGGCTGTACAAGAAGCATGGTACTAGCATCTGCTTCAGGTGAGGCCTCGGGAAGGTCCACTCATGGCGGCGTGGTGCCAGCATCTGCTTCTGGTGAGGCCTCGGGAAGGTCCACTCATGGCAGCGTGGTGCCAGCATCTGCTTCTGGGGAGGCCTCGGGAAGGTCCACTCATGGCAGCGTGGTGCCAGCATCTGCTTCTGGTGAGGCCTCGGGAAGGTCCACTCATGGCGGCGTGGTGCCAGCATCTGCTTCTGGGGAGGCCTCGGGAAGGTCCACTCATGGCGGCGTGGTGCCAGCATCTGCTTCTGATGAGGCCTCGGGAAGGTCCACTCATGGCAGAAGGTGAAGAGGAGCTGCTTGTACAGAGATGATGTGGCCAGAGAGGAGACGAGAGAGAGGGGGCAGGCACCAGGCTCTTTTTAACAATGAGCTCTTGGGGGAACTCATAGAGCAAGAACTCTCTCATTCCTGCCAGGACAGCACCAGCCACTCATGAGGGATCCAGGGGCATAACCTGAACACCTCCCACTGGGCCCCACCTCCAACACTGGGGATCATATTTCAACATGAGGTTTGGGGAGACAAATATCCAAACCATAGCAGGCAACTTCTCCCTGTGTCTTCCTTTCATCTTCCCTCTGTGCACTTGTGTGTCCCAATCTCCTCTTCTTATAAGAATACCAATCCTAGGCCGGACATGGTGGCTCACACCTGTAATCCCAGCACTTTGGGAGGCCAAGGCCGGTGGATCACCTGAGGTCGGGAGTTCGAGACCAGCCTGGCCAACGTGGCGAAACCCCATCTCTGCTAAAAATACAAAAAAAATTAGCCAGGTGTGGTAGCTCATGCCTGTAATTCCAGCTATTTGGGAGGCTGAGGCAGGAGAATCACTTGAACCCAGGAGGCAGAGGTTGCAGTGAGCCAAGATCACACCATTGGGACTCCAGCCTGGGCAACAAGAGTGAAACTCCATCTCCAAAAAAAAAAAAAAAAAAAAAAGAATACCAATCCTTTTGGGTTCGGGCCCAACAATATGACTTCATTTAACCTTATTACCCTCATATAGGCCCTGTCTGCAAATGCAGTCACATGGGGGGTTAGGACTTCAACATGTAAATTTGGGGACACACAACTCAGTCCGTAAGAGTGCAAGGGAGAGGTCAAGGCTTAAAATAAGAATTTGGCTTCCTTGACACAGAGATGACTGTACTCAGTGACCCTCCTCCTGTCATGTGTGGGACAAACCTGTTAGCTTGGTGTGATACAAATCCTGTGATTATGCAATGTCATGTGGCAAAAGGGATTTATAGACGGAATCAAGGTCCCAAGCCAGTTGACTCAGTTAATCAAAAGAAAAATAATATCAAGTAGGCCTGACCCAATCAGGTAAGCTCTTGAAAAGCAAAATTTTCCTCTGGCTGGCCTCAAGGAAGAATGCAGAGACCTAAGCTTTGAACTCCCACTGGCCAACAGCCAGCCAAAGCCAGGGACCTCCCTCAGACAACCACAGGGTCTGACTTCTGCCGTAGCCTCAGTGAGCTCGGAAGACCACCGGAACTCACTCCAGAGGAGACCACCTGAACTCCAGATGAGACCACCTGAACTCCGGACGCAGCCTCCCGAGACCCTGGGCAGAGGGCTGAGCTTCACGTGCACAGAATTCTGACCTACAGAAGCTGAGGTGGTAGCTGGATGTTGCTCTCCACTCTAAGCTTGCACTAAACTGTGCAGCAGTAGCGTTTCCCAGACTTGCCATTTCCTTTCTCCTTCTCCTTCCTCCAGCCTGTGGCCAGGTGCCTGCTCTCTGCACCCCACATACCATGGTAGTCCAGGCCTTGGTCCTCCCCCACCCCAGGATCACCACAGTGACCTGCTATTTTTAACCATATGTTTAAAATGGGGTAGGAAGACAGAAGCATGTCAAGTTCATGAAGCTTGAGTTCCAGAGACACCCTGACTTCACAAGTGAGTGACCGTGGATCTTTCTCACCCCATCATCTTCTTTCTTGGTTCATTTTCACCACGTGCTTCTTATCCACCACGCTGCTATTCCTTGACATGTGCTCTGAGGACCAGCCATTGCACATGGCTTGGGGAGCTGGGGCCCTGCCTCCAACGTGCAGAATCTGAATGATCAGCACAGGGCTGGGCATTTGCGTGTTCTCCTGGGGGCTTTTGGATATATTAAAATGTCATAATTCCTCTGGTGTCTAAACAGAAGTGTGGGAAATAGAAAGATGAATGGGTTATGGTCCCCATCTTCCAGGAGTTTACAAATTCAACCTAATAAAGGGGAAAAGATGCCTTCAGTGACAATGTAAGGGAGTGTCTGAGTCCATTTTGCAACACAATAGCAGAACACCACAGGCTGGGTAATTAAGAAATAGTCAATGTTTATTTGGCTCATGGTTCCAGAGGCTGGGAAGTCCAAGATCGAGGGTCCTTCTTGACGTGTCATGACATGGTGGAAGGTGTCAGTCACACGGCAAGAGAGAGCACAGGCTCAAAGTTGCATCAGCATTAAGCCCTTCGTGAGGGTGGAGCCCTTGTGACTCAAACAACCCCCATATGGCCCCACCTCTCAGTGCTGTTGCCTTGGGGATGAAGTTTCCAACATGTATTTTTGGGGGACACATTCAAACCATAGCAGGGAGAATGTGGTAAGTTCCATAAACAAGTTCTAAGGCCTAAAAATGTAGATGCCCCCATTTATAAACCTGGCTGTGAGTTGAGGGTGATCCAAATCTTTTTATTTATATTTTTGAGACAGAGTCTCGCTCTGTTGCCCAGGCTAGAGTGCAGTGGCGTGATCTCTGCTCACTGTAATCTCTGCCTCCCAGGTTCAGATGATTCTCCTGCCTCAGCCTCCCATGTAGCTGTGATTACAGGCGCCCGCCACCACGCCTGGCTAATTTTTGTATTTTTAGTAGAGATGGGGTTTCACCATGTTGGCCAGGCTGGTCTCGAACTCCCGACCTCGTGATCTGCCCGCCTCGGCCTCCCAGAGTGCTGGGATTACAGGCGTGGGTCACCATGCCCAGCCCAGATTCATTTTTTGAAATATGGTTTTAGTAATATTTTAGTAACATTAGTTATATCTGTTTTTTTTTTTCCTGTGGGCTAGGGCACAGTCCCCAGAAATCTGTGGATTAGGGCCAAGGATAGACGAAGGAACCTGAAACCAGGATGTCAAACGCTGTTGCAGCAGATGATCAATTTGGGCTTCATAAAAACTGGAATGTGCTGAAGTTAGCAGAGGTCTGGCTCAATGGACATGTCAGACGTCAGAGGCCACGTCGATGTTAAAGGTCATGGGCCACAAAACGCAGGGTCCAAGCCTAAGCCCAGAGTAACACCGGGTTTCCTGACCCCTCTGAAGATAACGCTGTTGGCCCCGCTAACTAATGAGGGTGTTTGTGATGAAAAGGCGACAGTGGCCAGGACTGTGCTGACTGTGGGGTGCCGGGGCTGCGGGGAGAGAGGGACCTCACCAGCTGTGTGTTTGTCATGGGCGTAGACAGCTCAGGACAGCACAGAACAGCACAGCTCTGAGGCGGTGGACAAGATAAACACCTACTGTGGGGCCAGGCCCCACCAGGAGCCCTGGGAGTGAGGCTTATGGAACACTGACACACACTCAGTGTAGATGCACAGGCTGTGATGAATGACCCCAGGTGGGGCCTCCACCCAGGGCTGCCTTGCACGCTGAGGCCCGAGAGGGCTGCCTGGGAGCCATGCAGGGTCAGGCCGGGAGTGGACGGGGGACCTGCTAGGTCCTCGCGGCTCAGCACCCGCCTGCCTGTGGTCCACACAGTGCCAGTTTCCTTGGGAGAATGGGTCCTTCCAGCCGTGTGTCTGTGTCTGTCCTGCTGGGAGTGCCCGTGGGGCAAGGCCGGGCTGAGGGCCCCGCTCGGCTGTCGGCGTCTCCCACGGTGGTGCTCAGCGGAACGTCCCAAGGACAGAAGGCGGTGGTGCTGATTCACTTCCGAGGCACAATCAGAAACCCAGGTCCTGCCTGGACTCTGAGGCCCCCAAGGCCTGGGCTGGTTTCTCTGCCCTCATTTCCCCACCTCTGTGCGGCTCCTGGGTCATCTCAAAGACACGGTGCCCGCTCCCCCCCGTTTCTCGGTTACACAATTCGAAGGCGATCCGTATTTTCAAGCAGCTTACAGTCTGGTCGGAGACACCAAGAACGCAGCAGACGCGATGGAAGAATTAGCAACTGACAGATATTTGTATATAAGCAGAAACAAACTAAGGAAGAAAGGAAACATGCCATTTACAGGCATTTCTGCACTAACCAGGTGCTGATTAGTTACATAATCGATGAAACGGTTGTTTATGCGCCAAGTCGTTCAAACATTTGTTAACTGGCACCTACTAGATACCAAGACCCGGCGCTGTGAAGAAAACATGGCAATGTCACACACTGGGAGATGCCTGCCTTCTGGGAGAGAGTTATGTCTGCTGCTTAACATGAGCAATAAACAAGTGACATTTTGGTTTAGAATCATCAACCGATTTATGTCAAACAAGCAAAGGAAGCAGCCATGGAAACAGAGCTCAGGCCCCTTCCCGGCAGTGGCTTTGCTGTTTAGGAGAGAGAGGCCTCATGGTGGACTCACTCATTATTTTAATTTATCCCTGTTTGGAGCATAACGTTGTTTGAAAAAGCAGAAAGGGACTTACGTGTAGATGAATTGAATACACAGTGGGTTCTTGTATGTGTGGGTTTTGTGTGTGTGTGTGTGTGTGTGTGTGTGTATGAGATTTTATTTTGTTTCTATCTAAAAATCTCTCTAAAAAGACAGTAGAGGCAAGGAAGATAGAGAAGGAGAAAAAGAAGAAGGAGGCTGGGTGTGGTGGCTCACATCTGTGATTCCAGCACATCGGGAGGCCAAGGCAGGAGGATTGATTGAGGCCAGGAGTTCAAGACCAGCCTGGCTAACATAGTGAGACCCCATCTCTATAAAAAATTTTAAAAAATAGCTGGGCATGGTGGCGCACACCTGTAGTCCCAACTACTTAGGAGGCTGAGGTGGGAGGATCACTTGAGCCCAGGAGTTTGAGGCTGCAGTGAGCCATGATCGCACCACTGCACTCCAGCCTCGTTGACAGAGCCAGACCCTGTCTCGATAAACAGGAGGAAAGAAGAATGTGGCACAAGCCTTTGAGGACAAAAGGAACAGAAGAGGAGCCGTGGGAGCTGGGTCAGCAGTGTCCGCACATCCTACCGAGGAAGCCGAAGGCTGGTGGAGCTGCAGGCAAGCACATTTGCAGCTCAAACCCGAGAGGCACAGAACGGGAGTGTCAGCACCCATGGGTGTCGGGCGAAGGCAGGCCTGAAATAAAAGGCTTGCGGGAGACAGGGCAAGAAGCCTGCTCCTCCACCTCTCACAGAAGGTGAGTGACCCCCACTGTGGCTGACGCCTGGAGAAGGTGTGTTCTCTGGACCACACAGAGAGAGGTAGGTTTCTCCTGGGATGGTTTGAGTCTGAGGCCACCCCCTCACCCCCACTGTGGCTGATGCCTGGAGAAGGTGTGTTCTCTGGACCACACAGAGAGATATCGCTCCTGGGATGGTTTGAGTCTGAGGCCACCCCCTCTTCCCCACTTGGCTCTCAGAACACTGGCAGCCAAAGGATTATCGTCTCCAAGACAAGGCGTTCGAACCCTTTCCTTTGAGGGATCTCATTCATCCACTTGGAAAGCCACAAAGATCCTAACAGGAAGGGGTCTCCGATGAGGCCTCCCCCGGGATCACGGAACAATGTGGCCACACACAGAGCTGCAGTCAGCCTGGTAGTGCCTGACTTGCTGGGTGGACAGCCCCAAATCTTCAGACTCCTGGGGAAAGCATCCACGGTCAAGTTCACACACAAACAGGACAAACGGAAAGCTATTCGGAGGAAATGGGCGCAGCGCAGGGAGGACACTTCAAGGAATAAAAATGCTAGAATTTACATCCTTAGAGAGAGAAGTAGACATTGAACCCATGAAACAAGAACAGAACACCTTAAAAAGGAACGTATGAAAGGAAACAAAAGCTTGTGCAAAAAAATTAAACTATGAGAGCAAAAATGCCAACCGCAAAAGAAAGGTTGGAAGATAAAATCTTTAAAAACTCTCAGAAGGTGAAACCACAAGACAAAGAGATGAAAAATAAAAGAATAAAGATACATTTTTGGTTCAGTGAGGAGCTAAAACATTTAAAAGAAACGAGTTCCAGCCTAAGCAAAGAATGGACAAGACCCACAAAGCATGCCACGAAATCGCAGAACTCTAGGAAGGAGGAGGCTCAGCCCTTGCTGCGGAGAGAATCGGAAGCCAGCCTGACACTGGGCCAGGCGGAGGCAACCCCGGACTTCAGGGGGCAACAGAGGGAGGAATGCCGGGAATTCCGTGGGCACACCATCTTCATTAAGCTTCCTCACCCAGCCATGATCTCGGCTCACTGCAACCTCCGCCTCCTGGGCTCAAGCAATTCTCCTGCTTCAGCCTTCCAAGTAGCTGGGATTACAGGCGTGTGCCACCATGCCCCATTAATTTTTTGTGTTTTTAGTAGAAACAGGGTTTCAACATGTTGGCCAGGCTGGTCTCGAACTCCCGACCTCAGGCGATCCGCCCGCCTCAGCCTCCCAAAGTGCTGGGATTACAGGCAGGAGCCACCGCGCCCGGCCCTGTTTTCTATGTTCTAGAGCAGTGTTTTTGATGGACTGTGTTATCCCCTCATATGTGTGGTTCTGGCTCAGGAAATAGTCAAGCAGAGGCTTCTAGAAATGGATAAAAGATTGGATTCAATTCCCACTAAGATTCCTTCTGTCTCCAAGACCCTATAATCCTTATGGCATGAAAACCTCATTAACATGAAACCTGGTAATTGGTAATTTGTACTAACCATACTGAGCTCAAGTTGGAGTGTGGCGTTGAGCTGATAAAAAGGCTTTCCCAGCAAGTAATGCTGCTTAAGAACAAACTGAGGTCAAACTTTATAAATGCACCATACAAGCAGTTTGTGTGATAATTAAAATAGTTCTTAGAGATAGTTTCCAAAGAATGTTTTTCTACTTAGCAACCCTTTATTAGCATATTTTTTGGTTACTGAATACACTTGACTTTTCCCTCATTCCACGGCCTTCCCTCCAATTAGCCTAAATTGATAGGGTTTTACCCCATGTGAGCATCTTGACTATCGCCGCAGAAAGAAGATGTGAATGAGGGTCCTCTAATCTAAGGAACAAAGACAGGTCACTGAGGACGGAGACTGACTCCCACTTGGCTGTTGTCAATAGGATTTTCCTGAAAGCTCAGCCTCTGACAATTTCACGTGCTTTGTTGATGGTATCTCAAAGAGCGAACATTCCTTGAGCCACAAAGAAGAACTTGGCTGACGGAATGAAGTGATGGCAACATCGGGAGGAAATGCCATCTTCTTCAGAGTCTGGTAGCTGTGGGCGTGAGCGCCTTCGCGTATGATGGCTTCCTGCGCGACAGCAAGCACATCCTGGGGAAAGGGCTAGAAAGAGAATAGGCAGTTCTATCTAACTGCAAATGCAATATAAATCACAGGATGCTGTGTCTGTGGAGAAAGCTGTTATGATCTTATGCTTTATTCATTGTGCATTCCCCGGAACAACAGCTATTCTCCAAGCCCTGTGACCTTCGGAGTCGGTAGAACACATCTTCCGTGTGCCCTTGGGCCTTGGCACCGTATCTTAAGAGAGACTTGGGCAGACAAGTGCAGACTGAGATAAGGTAAAACACCAGGAACTCTGTCTTATGAGGAATAGTGGAAGGAAATGGGAATAATTTCTGGATTGGATAGGATTTCAGGCAAACACGAAAGATCTTTTCAAATATTTGGGAGGAAAGTAAGGGGAAAAAATGGTTCCTTTTACGAGGTAGGCAGTGACAACCTGTATTGTGTCTTCCTCCATTTACCTTCCCGGTTTGTTCTCCCATCTCCCAACTCCACTCCAAGTGACGGTTCAGACTTTGAATTCAGCTGCTGCGGGTGTTTTCCAGAAAGCTTGATGACAAGGGCTCTTCTTGACTTTTATAAAAGCTTGGAAGAATGTAGTGGTAGGGTAGATAGAGGAGTGATGTGTTTAAGAATTAGGAGAAAAGGCTCGGCACGGTGGCTCACACCTGTAGTCCCAGCACTTTGGGAGGCAGAGGTGGATAGATTACTTGAGGCCAGGAGTTTGAGACCAGCCTGGCCAACATGGCAAAATCCTGTGTCTACTAAAAATACAGAAATTAGCCAGGCGTGGTGGCACACGCCTGTAGTCCCAGTTACTCAGGAGACTAAGGCACAAGAATTGCTTGAACCAGGAGGCAGAGGCTGCAGTGAGCCAAGATTGCGTCATTGCACTCCAGCCGGAACAGCACAGCAAGACTCTGTCTCAAAAAAAAATAAAAGAAAATTAGGAGAAAAAGAACTGCTCTGGGAAGAAGGGAATGGAACTATCCCAAGATTAGAGGAAGGCTGACTCCCATTTTATGGAGATGTCCAAAAGAGAGGACCTCACATGCAGCTGACGGGAGTTCGTGACCTGCATGCCCACATGGAAGGTAAGGGACCGTGAGCATTTTGGCAGTCATGAGCCCACATGGAAGGCAAGGGACCGTAAGCATTTCAGCAGTCATGAGCCCGGACTGACGCCTGCAGGAGGTCCCTGGGTGCTAGGCTCTGCCACAACTCCGGTGACCTCTTTGTTGTCCCAGGGCCGTCGGGCAGTGACTGGGAACTAATAACGACTGAGATGAAGTGTCGACACAATGCTGATGGAAGGAGGCTTAGACATGAATGGAAATTGACTTAAAGAAATTACTTTCTTGCATGCCTATACTTATGGATTCGATGACTATACATTTATACAGCTCAAGGACAGATCAAGGACCAATGAGTAGAAGGTTCTGGAAGGAAGGTTTAGTTACTGCAAAAAGAAATGTCTAAGCATTGTCACTCCCAGCAGTAGGAGAGTGCTTTTGGAAGCCGGAGCTCCTGCCACAGGGCAGAACACTAACACCCATCTTTCAGGGGCGTTTTAAGGGAAAATTCCATGATGGGTGTCACACACTGGATTAAGCAATATCTTCCACCCCTCCCAAATCTGGGGTTCTGTCATTCTATGAATTATCAGAATCCCTGGCTCACAAGTGGGACTGGACTGAGTCTCTAAGAGCTTGTAAATATTTGCACAGCCGTCCTTTGAAAGCACTCATCGGGACTTCTGTGCCATAACACTCTGCCCTGAGTGACCACTGAAGTGTTTATTTTACTCTGGATCCTCGAATGGGTGACTGAATTCATTTGCAAACAGGGAAAATTCAGCCGTGTCAGCTTTGATTGCTCTCAAGGTCAGAGGTGTTGTTTTCTTTCTTGATGTGTAAGGAATGTGTTTTTTTCTTCTTATGGTAACTGTAAGACCGGACTGAGCATAAAGAGAGAAGACATTTGAAGTACATGTTGCAAGCAGAGCCAGAGGGATTAGGGGCAAAGGAAATGGAAGGCAGAGACTGAGAAGAGACAGTGGAAGTACTAAGGTTACTTCCCAGCCCAGCTGAGCGTTTTATGATGGATGTGTCAGGGCTCCAAGCGGTGGCCTTGGCTCCACTGCCCTGAGATTGCTCTGCTGCGTGTCAGAGGACATCATCAGTGTTTGCAAAATCCAATTAAAGCAGCATTAGTGCACACGGGCACACTGAGCCGCCCAGCACGTTTCATGCCCAGTCCCTCTGGCAGTTCTGCAAGCCCAGCCGCAGTTTTAGAAAAGAGTTATTTGGGTAAGCCTTTGGAACAGAATTTTTTCCTCCAATTTAAATCATTTTTCATTTTATTGAAAACTTCCAGAGCTCCATTTGGTTCTAATATCAAAGCAGGGAAAAGAAACTTTTCCTTCCTTTTTGTGACATGCTTATAAAAATTATTTTTGTCACTCTTAGGTGAATTATTAGCAAGTATGACGTAATGCTGCTGAGATGAAGCACAAGGACAGGGGAGATGCAAGGCAGGAAGGCTGGGCTCCCACCCCTCGCTCCTTACATGTAGAATGTGGAACTGAATCGCAGCTGTTACTGTTACGTAATCCAGGGATACTAGGAAGTAGAAGTGGCCCAAACTATTTTATAACAATAGTAGGAAAAAACATTTTCCTCAATTTGTAAAGATTTCTGATTTTGATTATGTATCAGTCCATAATCTGCATGTACATCCACAGGGTGAAATTGTTTTGCATAATCTGTTTTCGGCCACGGCAGAGTTGCCTGTACTGGAGGAACTCTCCTGCTAATAACGATGATAGCTTCTGTATTAGATATTAAAACAACAGTTTGAAGGCACTAGAGATCACCCAGAAGCTGACAGAAACTGGAAGGGCAAAACCCTTGCAAGGCGGGAGGCAAAGTGAACAAGCTTAGTGTAGCCACATGAGTCTATTTGCTGAGGGCGCTTCCCAGTTCACGCAGGGTGTGTGAAGATAGAGTTCAAATGAGAAGTGCCAATGTTCTGAGCGCGGAGTCTGCTAGTGCCCCGGAGTTCACGTGCTGGAAGCTGAGTTGCTCTTGTAACCGTGTTGGGGCCTTTCTGAGATTAGGCCTGAGGCTTTGCCCCTGTGGATGGAATATGCTTTTGTGTCGGGAGTGGATTCGTTGTCGAGGGAGGTGGCTCCTGATAAGTTCATTCCCATTCCTCTCTCTCTCTCTTTATTTTTTTTTTGAGACGGAGTTTTGCAATTGTTGCCCAGGCTGGAGTAGTGCAGTAGTGCAATCTCAGCTCACTGCAACCTCTGCCTCCCAGGTTCAAGCGATTCTTCTGCCTCAGCCTCCTGAGTAGCTAGGACTACAGGCATGTGTCAACACGCCTGGGTAATTTTTGTATTTTTAGTAGAGACAGGGTTTTGCCATGTTGGCCAGACTTGTCTTGAACTCCTGACCTCAGGTGATCTGCCTGCCTCGACCTCCCAAAGTGCTGGGATTAGAGGCGTGAGCAACCGCACCCAGCCTCTCTCTGTCTCTTGCACCCACTTCCACCAGGGGAAGGCCCTCACCAGATGCTGGCACCATGCTCTTGGACTTCCCAGCCTCCAGAAACATGAGCCAAAAAAACTTCTATTCCTTATGTATTACCCAGTCTGTGGAATTGTGGCAGGACAGTCCACAGCTCTCATTCTATTCTCAGAGGGGTGACAGGTTCCAAAGGGGTTCATGTCCACTCATGTAGAAGCCAGAGGAAGACAGATCACACAGCCACAGCGTCAGAGTTAGACCAAGAAAGGGGTGTTTAGAGACTTCCAAGCAATCATGAAACATTCCATTTCTATGTAAGCCGTTTGACTGGTATGAAGTATGCACTTGCTGAGAATCAAACACTGAGAATATCAGGCATTCTACATTGAGATCTGATATTGACAAGTAAATGACATAAGGCAGAGAAAAGTAGTTAGAAAATAAAGAAGATGCAGCCCCAGGTAGCCGCATTCTTTCCCCTCTCCAAGGCCACACATGCTGCCCAGCAGGTCTTGGCATTACAGAGAATGCTGGCAGTTCTGTCTGTTGTTTGTTTGGAGGGCTCGCTGCTGAGCCACATCGAGTTTTCTGGAGACGCATCAGCTAAGCTACTGAAACCATGCTCAGTTCCTCCCCGTGCAGTAGGCGTTACCACTGTGATTCTGTGGGTGGGACAAAGAGGCAAGGAGGCTAATGGGAGAAGTCGAGGGGCAAGCACCCACTCAGTGCCCACTCAGCTGCTGACCCTGTGCTGCGGGCTGCCTTTCTTGCAGAGAGTAAAGGAGCTCTGGTCTGGTGATGGAGGGGGATGTGCTATGAGAGTCCCACCTGCCAAAGCCCTGATGGAAATGGGCCCAGACTGCTGGAGAGTGCAGCAGGGACAACTCACCGGGGCAGGGGGAGCTCGCAGGGTGGCTGGGATAGCACAACCTCTTCCTCACACAGGGCATGGCACACCCCACTCCTATAAAACAACAACCATTCAGTTCTCACTTAAAAATCCGAACGTGATCCGCTTTTGGTGAACTTTTTTTTTTTGAGACGGAGTCTTGCTCTGTCACCCAGGCTGGAGTGCAGTGGCATGATCTTAGCTCACTGCAAGCTCTGCCTCCCGGGGTCACACCATTCTCCTGCCTCAGCCTCCCAAGTAGCTGGGACTACAGGCACCCTCCACCACACCCGGCTGATTTTTTGTATTTTTAGTAGAGACGGGGTTTCACCATGTTAGCCAGGATGGTCTCGATCTCCTGACCTCGTGGTCTCCCTGCCTCGGCCTCCCAAAGTGCTGGGATTACAGGTGTGAGCCACTGCGCCTGGCCTGTTGAACTTTTAACATACTTCCCTGTGCTCTAGCCACAGCCACACTGGTTCCCGTTAGCTAAATTTTTAACCATACAGTATTGTCATTTGCATGCTGTAGTTAAGAGCTTCCAGAGGTTACATGCACTAGATCTTAACAGCTTAGCCCTCATGAATAACATGTTATCTTCCACCATCTCAGGGAAGCAGTGATACCGTGGAGTGAGAAAAGTGCATTCTCTCAGGATTTCTGCCGTGTTTTCATGCTGAGGTGTGACAGAGTATTTCCAGTCCCCTAACTCTGGTCCATGACCTTAAGTTAGGTGGGAATAACCTTAGGAAGTGCCCTTTCCCCATGTGGTCCTTTACAACCTTCAAAACTCCCAAGGATGGACCCAACTTGACAAACATCAACAGCTCCCTGTGTCCCAAAGGTGGACAGTCGGAGAACCTGGGGAGTGAGCCTGCTTCTGCACAGCTAATCAAACATCACACCTTTTGTGCGAGGTCTGGGAGAGCTGGTTTGGAATGGCAAACACTCGATTCAACCTCCAGACAGCACGGGGTAACCAGGAGGGGCAGTGGTCAAGGTCCCATGAGGAGTGACTCAGCAGGTGCTTTGTCTACATGGCTCGCTCCCACGGAAACCCAGGGCGGGTGGGAAGGGATTTTCCCCTTGAGGAGTGTTCCCTGGGGAGTTTGCCTCTTTCCCCCATTAACTATTTCTCCAGACAATGCTGAGCTTCTGAAACCGCAACTTCCCAGGGAGCCTTACCGTGGCAAATGCGTCTGAGTGTTTCTCAGAGAGGCCTGGGCACCCACGGCCTGTGTGCTCTCAGCTTCCTTCATTGTTCCGGGCCTCGGTTTCCTTATCTATAAATTGGGAATGTGAAAGGCTCTCTTGAAGCCTTGCTCTCGGGACTAGAAATAACTCACGTAAAGCAAGGGGCTGTGGCGTGCACACTGTCATCTGGAAAGCACTGCTCTGACCTGGGCTGCTTGTCTCAGAACACAGAAATGAGGCCAGGCCACTGGTCCGAGCTCCCTCGCCCATTAGGCCAGACTGTAATCGGTTCTGTGTTTACAGAAGTTCAACAAGATGTAGTTTACCTCAACCGTGAAACACCTGCTAATACAGACCTCAAGGGTGCTGTGAAGATTAAACAGCTTCACGCTCATCGAAAGCTTGGAGCTCCACAACATTCAACAAATGTCGGCTGTCACTGTTGCACAGACGCTCAAGCCTCCCACTCTGCCATTCAAGGGTCTGGGGACAGGCATGAGATGATAGTGTGACTGGGAAAGTAGCGGTGGGGGTGGAAGCCAGGGCAGGCTCAGGAGGCTCAAGACCTGGCACTGTTCAGTGGCTGGGATGGGGTCTGGCCTCTGCAGGCCCTGCCTGGCTCCTTGTGTGTCCACTAGTCACCACCACAGCAGATCAAACCAGCACACAGAAATGCCTGTGCTTCAGAGGAAGTCACTTACATAAAAATTTGATGTTTAAAAGGGAAATACATACAAGTTACTTTCATGATTTTATAGGTTCTCAGCAGTCAGAAAAAGTAGCACATCTATTAATGAGAAATAGTTTACAATACAGTTCTCAGATGATGTGCTTGTTTGAATTAATTCTCCTGACGGCATCCACCCGTGGTGTCCCGAGCACACGTCCTGATGCAGCAATAGTGACATGTTGTTTTATTTACTAATGTCCCCACGTGTTTAGTACAGGGTCTGCCGCACAGCTGGAGCTCAGTAAGCGTCTGTTGAATTCAGTTGCGATTCACTAAACACCCTGAGGTGTACTCCTAGAATTTCTTCTTCCAGTCACTGGGGCACAAGCCCTGCCTAGATTTTCATATACAAAATGTTAGGTTTGAAGAAATGGAAGAAATGCTGTTTTCTTAGGTGCAGTCAAGGAGCGACTTTCAAGGGAGCTCCACTGCGTGGCGAATCGTCTGAATGCACACAGGTCTCTTGGGGTGGACGTGACAGAAGCCAGGCAGTGTGAAGTGGGAAACACAATAGGAAGGCAAGAATTGTGGCCCGGCCTAGTACAAGGTAGGCCTGTCGCGTAATGTGCAGCCCGGCCTAGTAGAAGGTAGGCCTGTCACGTAATGTGTGGACCCAGCCTAGTAGAACGTAAGCCTGTCGTGCAACGTGTGGACCCGGCCTAGTAGAATGTAAGCCTCTCGCGCAACGTGTGGACCCGGCCTAGTAGAAGGTAGGCCTGTCACGTAATGTGTGGACCCAGCCTAGTAGAATGTAGGCCTGTCGTGCAACGTGTGGACCCGGCCTAGTAGAATGTAAGCCTGTCGTGCAACGTGTGGACCCGGCCTAGTAGAAGGTAGGCCTGTCACGTAATGTGTGGACCCAGCCTAGTAGAATGTAGGCCTGTCGTGCAACGTGTGGACCCGGCCTAGTAGAATGTAAGCCTGTCGCGTAACGTGTGGACCCGGCCTAGTAGAATGTAAGCCTGTCGTGCAACGTGTGGACCCGGCCTAGTAGAAGGTAGGCCTGTCGCGTAAGGTGCGGCCCGCCCTAGTAGAAGGTAGGTGCTGCGTAATGTGCGGCCCGGCTTAGTAGAATGTAGGCCTATCATGCAACGTGTGGACCCGGCCTAGTAGAATGTAAGCCTGTCACGTAACGTGTGGACCCGGCCTAGTAGAATGTAAGCCTGTCGTGCAACGTGTGGACCCGGCCTAGTAGAAGGTAGGCCTGCCGCGTAATGTGTGGCCCGGCTTAGTAGAATGTAGGCCTATCATGCAACGTGTGGACCCTGCCTAGTAGAATGTAGGCCTGCCGCGTAATGTGCGGTCCGGCCTAGTAGAAGGTAGGCCTGTCGTGTAATGTGTGGATCCAGCCTAGTAGAAGGTAGGCCTGTTGCGTAATGTGCGGCCCGGCCTAGTAGAAGGTAGGTGCCGCGTAATGTGTGGCCGGCCTAGTAGAAGGTAGGCCTGCCGTGTAATGTGTGGCCCGGCTTAGTAGAATGTAGGCCTATCATGCAACGTGTGGACCCTGCCTAGTAGAATGTAGGCCTGTCACGTGATGTGTGGCCCGGCCTAGTAGAAGGTAGGCCTGTCATGTAATGTGTGGCCTGGCCTAGTAGAAGGTAGGCCTGTCGTGTAATGTGTGGACCTGGCCTAGTAGAATGTAGGCCTGTCATGTAATGTGTGGACCCGGCCTAGTAGAAGGTAGGCCTGTCATGTAACGTGTGGACCCGGCCTAGTAGAAGGTAGGCCTGTTGTGCAACGTGTGGACCCAACCTAGTAGAAGGTAGGCCTGTCACGTAATGTGCAGCCCGGCCTAGTAGAAGGTAGGCCTGTTGTGTAATGTGTGGACCCGGCCTAGTAGAACATAGGCCTGTCATGTAATGTGTGGAACTCGCTTTCTTGTCTGCAAAATGAGACACTTGAGGAACAGATCTTTCACTTAGCAGAGAGGAATCAGTGGCATGAGTTTAAATCAGTGAGTCTACCATAAGGTATTTAAATAATGCTGAATTTATTTTATTTATTTATTTATTTATTTATTATTTTTACAGACAGGGTCTGGCTCTGTCGCCCAGGCTGGAATGCAGTGGTGTGATCACAGCTCACTGTGGCCTCTACTTCCTGGGCTCAAATGATCCTCCCACCTCAGCCTCCTGAGTAGCTGGGACTACAGGAACTTGTCACCATGCACAGCTAATTATTTTATCTTTTGTAGAGATGGGATCTCACTGTTGCCCTCTTGAACTCCTGGGCTGAAGAGATCCTCCCAGCTGGGCGCTGTGATGCGTGCCTGTATTCCCAGCTATTCGGGAGGCTGAGGCAGGAGAATCACTTGAACCTGGGAGGTCAAGGCTGCAGTGAGCCAAGATAGTGCCACTGCACTCCAGCCTGGGTCTGGGCTACAAAGCAAGATCCTATCTCAGAAAAAAAAAAAAAAGAGAGAGAGAGAGATCCTCCCGCTTCAGCCTCCCAAGGTGTTGGGATTATAGGCGTGAGCCAACGTGCTGGCCTAGAGTTCTTTTTCTTGTTATTATTCCCTAAACAATATAGTACAACTATTTATATATCATTTACATTGTATTAGGTATTATAAATCACCTAGAGATGACAAAGTACACAGGAGGATTGCATAGGTTATATGCAAATACTATGCCATTTTATACCAGGGACTTGAGCATCCACTGATTTGGGTGTCCACAGGGATTCCTGGAACCAATGCTCCACCCATACCAAGGGATGACTACATACAAAGACCCTGATGAAAGGCAAGGGTGGACTGAGGTCACTGGGTGTGGGGGTGGGTGAGGCAACTCTACCCACACTGCCACACTTTAAAAGTGAGCCCCCCGCCTAGGGTGTGCCAGATGAACTACCCTATCCCATAGGCTATTTCTATAGAGTTACAAACAGAATAATGGGGCTGAAGAATGAGGCCACACATTCAGGAGCCACCTCTAGGCTGGAAACAGTATTTCCACTATTCACTTTTCTTCATCAGTCTTGCCCCAGGTTTGACCATTTAGTCTTTTCCTTATCAACTTTTGTTTTATACAGCATGAATTTCTGCTCATTCCTTCATTTTATTTGTTCTTTTACTTTATTTTGCTGTTCTTAAATTTAAGATGGATGTTTACCTCGTTAACTTTCAGGTAGAATTTTGTACTCATGTACAGAGAAACGAGTTTCTCTTTGTAAGTCAATTTTCGCATTCTATATTTCAAGGTTACGTTATTGGTTTACATTAAAGTTATCTTTATGAATTAAACATTTATTGTACTTATTAACACATTTGGGTTTATAGCTACCATATTATTTGTGGTTTTTCCATTTTTTTGTTTCTTTTCACTTTTTTCTTGCCTTCATTTCAATTAGCTTTTGTTAACCATTTTAGATTTTTTTCTACTAATTTGGAAGTTATACATTCTGCTTGTGTAGTTATAATCATTAACCTAGGAATTATAACAGGGATACTTAATTTACCAAGTCTTAAGTTCATCAGTACTTTACCCTAGTTCTGAAAGTAGGACCTAGAACTCTTAACTCTATCCCTTTCTTGATTTATAGGCTTTATTAATTATGTGTTAAAATGTAATAAGATATTACTATTGTTTTTTATGCACTTTATTTGTTCCTCATTCTGATCACTTTGCTTCTATTGCAAGTATATTATTTAAACTTTCTTTTACAAAGGGTTGGCTTATGGTAAGATTTCTCAGTGTTCCTTTGTCTGTAAATGTTTTTCTCCTCATCCTTAAAGGATATTTTCTCTGGGCATCGAATTCTAGTTTGGCAGCATTGTTTGTTTCCCACCCCCCCTCCTTAATATTGAAGATATTCCACTGTCTCCTGTCTCTCAATGTTACTGTTGAGCAGTCAGCTGTCACACTCACTGTTGCTCTTTTGATGGCAATCTGGCTTTTCCTTTCAGTTGCTTTTAACAAATTGTTCTTGGCTTTGGTATTCTGCATTCTGTCTATGATTTCTTATTTATCATTCTGGTACTTTATCTTTCCTGGAAAAATCTTAGTCTTTATATCTTCAACCATTGCCTCCTTCCCTTGCTCCTTCTCCTGTCCTTCTGGAGTACTTATTGGACAAACATTTGCTCTCAATCCTACCGGTCTTCTCAATCTATTTCAATCTGCTTAAGTTCAGTGTTGTGTGTTTTCCATTTGCCCCTCCAGATTGTGTCTTCCTCTGCCCTGCTCTATGCCCCTGGAAGTTGACTTCTACAGACTGGATGTCCAGGCCCTCTTGCATTCTGGCTGTTGGGTTAGTCAAAGGGAGGCCCCAGCAGAATTATAAGGAGGAGAGACTGCTCTGGTTATTAATTTCTCTCACTCCCTTTCTGCAGGGCTGAGCCTTGGTGTCACTGTGTTCCTCTATGGCTGTGGCTCCCACCTAGGGCCCTTCTACATGGTTTTAGCATTTGCTAGGTTCTATCATTGCCTTAACCCTCAGTCCTATGAATTGTGATGGCTTCCCACAGTTGCCAGTTAACTGGGTCCTTTGTCATCCTTTGTTGGTTCTTTTAACCCAGCTAACACTTCTGTTAATAGTGTCTTCAGCCAGATGCGGTGGCTGATGCCTGTAATCCCAGCACTTTGGGAGGCTGAGGTGGGTGGATCACGAGGTCAGGAGATAGAGACCATCCTGGCTAACATGGTGAAACCCCGTCTCTACTAAACATACAAAAAATTAGCCAGGTGTGGTGGTGGGCACCCGTAGTCCCAGCTACTCGGGAGGCTGAGGCAGGAGAATGGTGTGAACCCAGGAGGCAGAGCTTGCAGTAAGCTGAGATCGCACCACTGTACTCCAGCCTGGGTGACAGAGCGAGACTCTGTCTTTACTTCCAAGACACAGTGGAGATATAGGCAGCATTGGGTAAACATTCCCATTCCAAAAGGGAGAAATCAGCCAAAAGAAAGGCACTACAGGCCCCAGGCAAACAAAACCTAGCAGGAGTCATTAAATCTTAAGGCTCCAAAATAACCTCCTTTGACTCCATGTCTCACATCCAGGGCACACGGCTGCAAGGGTGGTCTCCCAAGGCCTTGGGCAGCTCTGCCCCTGTGGCTTTGCAGGGTTCAGCCCCCTGGGCTGCTCTCACCAGTTGGAGTTGAATGCTTGTGGCTTTTCCAGGTGTAGGGTGCAAGCTGCTGGTGGATCTACCATTCTGGTTTCTGGAGGATGATGGTCCCCTTCTCATAGCTCCACTAGGCAGTGCCCCAGTGGGGACTCTGTGTGGGGGCTCCAACCTCACATTTCCCCTTGGCACTGCCATGGCAGAGGTTCTCTGTGAGGGCTCTCTCCCTGCAGCAGGCTTCTCTGTGCACTCAGAATTTCTCATACATCCTCTGAAATCTAGGTGGAGGCCACCAAGAGTTCTTCATCCTTGCATTCTGTGCACCTGCATGCTTAACACCATGCAGGAGCTGCCAACGGTTATGTTCTCCAAAGTGGCGGTCCAAGCTATAACTGGGCCCCTTTGAACCACGGCTGCAGCTAAGCAGCTGAAATGTGGGAAGCAGTGTCCCAAGGCTGTGCAGGGCAATGGATACCCTGGGCCTGACCCGTGAAACCATTCTGCCCTCCTAGGCCTCTGGGCCTATGATGGGAGGGGCTCCTGGGAAGATCTCTGAAATGCCTTCAAGCCTTTTTCCCCATTATTTTGGCTCGCTTTTAGTTATGCAAATATCCCTAGCAAGTGGTCATTCTGCAGCCTGCTTTAGTTCCTCTCCTTAAAAAGCTTTTTCTTTCTGTGCCACATGGCCAGGCTGCAGATTTTCCAAAGTTTTATACTCTGCTTCCTGTTTAAATGTAAGTTCCAACATTAGGTCATTTCTTTGCTCCCCCATCTGAGGTAAGCTGTTAGAATTAGCCAGGCTATCTCTTGAACACTTTGCTGCTTAGTAATTTCTTCTGTCAGATGCCCTAAAGCATCACTTTTTAGTTCAAACTTCCACAGATCCCCAGGGCACGACTAGAATGCAGCCAAGCTCTTTGCTAAGGCATAACAAGGGTGACTTTTGATCCAGTTCCCAATAATTTCCTCATTTCTATCTGAGACCTCAGCAGCCTGGACTTCACTGTCCATATCACTATCAGTATTTCGGTCACAACCACTGAACCAGTCTCTAAGATGTTCTAAGCTTTCCCTCATCATCCTGTCTTCCTCTGAGCCCTCCAAAGTCTTCCAACCTCTGCCTATTACCTAGTTCCAAAGTTAATTTTATGTTTTCAGGTATCTTTATAGCAATGCTCCACTCGTTGGTACCAATTTTCTGTGATCCAAACACCTTGCACGAGGCCCCACCTCCAGCACTGGGGATTACAATTCAATATGAGATTTGGGTGGGAAAAATATCCAAACTATATCACTAAGTAATATTTAGATAACTTTAAAGGGTGTTTAAAACATATTTTAGGTACTTTGTACTTTTTTTTTGTTTCGTTTTGTTTTTTGAGATGGAGTCTCACTCTGTCGCCCAGACTGGAGTGCAGTGGTACGATCTCGGCTCACCGCAACCTCTGCTACCCAGGTTCAAGTGATTCTCCTGCTCAGCTTCCAGAATAGCTGGGATTACAGGCGCCTGCCACTGTGCCCAGCTAATTTTTGTAGTTTTAGTAGATATGGGGTTTCATATCTTGGCCAGGCTGGTCTTGAACTCCTGACCTCATGATCCACCTGCCTCGGCCTCCCAAAGTGCTGGATTACAGGCATGAGCCACCGCACCCAGCCATGTACTGTTTTCAATGAGACTGTTCTTTATCCCTAGCTGACCATGTAAAAGAAATGGCACTTGTTTTAAAATTTGTTATTATGTGTGGAACAGATAATGTCTGAAATTGCCTGAATCTAGCAGCAGGCAGCAGGGTAAACATGCTTTTAGCATATATGTGCTAATCAAAGCTATTCTTTGATTAGCTACTTTTTTTTTTGATCTGCTACTTCTTCAACCTATAGCTTTTTTTTCTTTCTTTCTTTCTTTCTTTTTTTTTTTTTTTTTGAGATGGAATCTTACTATGTTGCCCAGGCTGGAGTGCAGTGGCACAATCTTGGCTCACTGCAACCTCCTGCCTCAAGCAATTTTCCTGCTTCAGCCTACAGGTGCGTGTAACTATGCCCAACTAGGTTTTGTATTTTTAGTAGAGATGGAGTTTTGCCATGTTGGCCAGGCTGGTCTCGAACTCCTGACCTCCAGTGATCTGCCACCTTGGCCTCCCAAAGTGCTGCGATTACAGGCGTGAGACACTGCGCCCAGCCTCAACCTATAACTTTTTATATTTTAAAAAATAATTTGGACTAGACCACATTTTCTCATGGCAGAGTGGGCCAGTCAAGTAAAAAGGGAAAAAAGAGCAAATTGTGATGAGTTGACAAGATGGAAAACACTATCTAGATAAAGCCACATATAGCAGGCAATAACATATTGCCTCAAAATATGAAATCATGAAGTTTTTACATATATACTTCTAAAATTTACTATTTAAAGTTATTAAAATTCTGTATGATTCAATTTTCTCCACCAATCACATGGCCTTCCTAGTACTTTCCCATTTTGAATGTGTTTCAACTTCTGTTTACGGAGTATTGGCATGGCAGTCTGCCACAGAAATTTTGAAAATGAGAATAGCTTAAAATAAAAAAGTGGTCTGCATTAATCCCAATGGAAAGTGAGCTATGAAGATGATCAGCTGAAACAGACTATAAGGCGAAAGGAAACAGGATAGGAGTTATTTGCTGGGTAGGGATCATTCACAAGAGTTCTTTCATGTTTTCTTAAGAGTTTGGAATTCCTACTTTGTCAGTCCCCAGGTATACTGATGCTTTAATGGAGTTTTTAAATGAATGAACATTTATGAAGGAAGACCTGCATTAGTCAATATTAGCCTGGGACAGAGGAACAGAAGAGGGGTTATTACCTTTCTCTTTATGTATTGGTCATAGGTTCGGATTTTCTAAACTTAAGTATTTTGACATTATTCGTTGTAGCATATTTGGATTAATTATCAGTTGAGCACAGATTTAAAGAGCATCTTCTTTAGATGCCAATGCAGTAGGCATCAGTACTGTTTACAGATAACTCTGTTATTCTCAACTCACTGTCCAGAAATAGGCCCATGGGAGCTGAGACGGAAACATTTAATTGTCAAATTCATTCCCCTTTCCTCAGCATAGCTATTGTCAACCTTTACTCCAGGAGTCTGCTCCCTCAATGACCATCCTGAACAGAGGCCCCTGCTGACCTATGGTGAGTATCTTAACCAGCTTGGGCTGCCATAACAAAATACCAGACTGAGTGGCTTAAACAACAGAAAATTTTCTTTTCACAGTTTTGGAGACTGGAAGGTCCAGATCAGGACACCAGCATAGTTGGGTTCTGGTGCAGCCTCTTCCTGGCTTGTGGAAAGCCGCCTTCTCTCTGTGCTCACATGGTCTCTCCTTGGTGCAAGCATGGGGTCGGGGAAGCCTGGGAGCAGCTCTCTGGTGTCTTTTCTCATAAGTGTGCTAATTCCATCAGGAGAGCTCCAGCCTCGTGACCTTTTCTGAACCGAATTACCTCCCCAAGGCTCCATCTCCAAACACCTTAACACTGGGAGACAGGGCTTTCACGTATGAATTTGGGGAGACTTAATTTGGTCCACAGCAGTGGGCGTGGAGCATCAGAGAGAAATAACTGATGCTGAGATTTGGAGACTATTTGTTATCACAGGATAATTTAGACTGTCCAGACACATACATTCTGATAGTGAATACTATTATTTTTATACTTCTATGCTTTTGTGAGGAAATAATATGTTTTTAATTAAAAATAATAGCAGGAAAGGCACTTAGCTTACTATTAGTCTAGAAGTTGGTGGCAGGGCTGGAATTGAAATTTTAAGCCTCCTCCCTCTGGAAAACGGAAATTGCTAAAGCATTATGGTTTCCTTGTGCAGACCTTCAAAATCAATTATTAAACTTGTGACAATGACGTCACATCATCAAAGTGAATTTTTTTCACTGTTTTTAACCTGAGGGTCAGACATCACAACCACCTGCTTAACCAGCTTCCAGAAACACTAAGGATTCAGATGTCTGTTGCAACATGAAACTTGTCTTTGCTTATCTCGAGTATCTTTTTGGGTACAGCACAGAATGCTAATCTTAAGAAATTCTGCCTGCAGATATTTAGAATCATTTGGAAATTGATCATACAAGCATAAGTACATGCATTCCAAATACGTGTATGATTATTATCACAAATCTTCTCTAGGAAAAGAGATCGCAAGATTTCCATTAAACCTAAAATTGTTCCTTTATGGAACAGCAGAATGCAAAGAATGTTTTTAACAGTGTGTCAATAGAATGACTCGTACTCAACCCATAGAAACACCCCTTATCAGCAGCTCTGACGTGAGCAAGGGCAGAAGTTCATTAGCACAGGTGCCTGTCATGATCCACGCACAGGAACGGAATTCTCACAGAAGAAACACAACCTGTCTGCATATGCAAACAGTGCTTTAGTGAAACACAGGTGCTGGGGGATTATTGACAGCATATGACCCCAAGTGCAATCCATCATGTACCTCCATTTAAATACCAAACAATTCATGACCAGCCTGGACAACATGGCGAAATCTCCCCTCTACTAAAAAATACAAAAAGTAGCCAGGTGTGGTGGCATGTACCTGTAGTCCCAGCTACTCGGGAGGCTGAGGCACTTAAATCTGAGAATTGCTTAAACCTGGGAGGTGGAGGTTGCAGTGAGCCAAGATCACACCATTGCACTCCAGCCTAGGCGACAGAGTGAGACCCTGTCTCATAAATAAATAAACAAACAAACAAATACCAAACAAGGTAATAACTCTACAGAGGTCAAGAACAAAGCCACTCTCGGCTGGCAGTGCAAAAGGAGAGTGGCTTTGGAGTTCCATGCGCCCTGAACGCACCTCATTGTGTCTCTCCAGCTGTGTGACGGTGAGCAAGCACTCAACCACCTCAAAGCCAGCACTCTTGTCTGTGAAACAGAGACAATCACACCCACCTCACTATGCTGTCCCGAGAAGAAAGCAAGTGACCTGGCACATGGTGGAGGCTCCCTGCATTGCAGTTGTTAAGGTTCAACGATAATTTAATGAATAGAACAAAAGTTTAGCAAATATTATTGTAACTAAGCAGCTAATAAGAACATAGATAATACATAATGCATAATTAATAATACACAATCTCTTTGCTCACTTATTAATGCCTGTAGAATAGGGTTAGTGAAAAGCTAAAATAATTCACATAAAGTATTTTTAACATGCCTGGTAGATAGTAAGTGAGCAAAGAGTGAAGAAACAGAGGCTTGGGGAAGCTGAGACATTTTCCCAGGATCACAGCGGGTGGAGCTGTATCTCAGAAATGAAGCTCACAGTCTTAACTCACTGTGTAATTCTGCAGAGAATGTCAGGCTGCACCTTTGGCCCGGAGGGTGGCTCTCATGCCATTGCTGCCTTCCACCTAAGGAGGTGTTTCCTTAGACCTCCCTGTTGACAGCTTTCCTCTTTATGGCACAGTGTGGAGTTCTGACCCACTTCAGGGTTGTGCAGAGGGGGTCTGACAGTACTGTAATTCAGTAGGACTACTTGAGTATTGCAGAAGCTTGATTCCAACCGCTACAGCCCCTACATCAGGAACTTACTCAAGCCAACATTCAATCAACGGAGTTCCACAGTCACTGTGAATGCTCTTGGCAGTGCTGCCTGAGGTGAGGGATGGCAAAAAAGTAAGACACAGTTCCTGTCCACGAAGAGCTGGCTACTTCTTTTGGAAACAAGATGTACACAAGGAAGCATCTAGGTACAAAGCAGCATGTGACTCGTTCTGAATGAGTTCCTGTGGGGATCCAGGGAAGTGGCCGACGGGCCCAATGGAGCACTCATAGGACCCTCTAAGACCGGATGCCTACTGATGGCTAATCCCCATGTAAAGGCTCCTTTCAGGCAGGAAGTTCAGTTCTGCAAAATGTACCTTTCATCCATCAGAATTACAGCAACGAGAAGGTAAAACAGAAAAGACCAAACCCACAAAATAAAAAGGTCTGAAAAACAAAGCTTTTTACTGAGAAGTGCCTCGCAGTCAGAAGCTTTGCAGAGTACCCTTGAGAGCATCCTTTACTACAGCTGAGAAGTACCTTTCTGTCACAAGGTACACACTCAGAGGCGTCCTGGCAGCTGGAACCTGCTAATGCAGTCAGGAACTGGCAATGTGCCTCGTACTGCAGGCAGCATTTGCGACACTCCTCAGAAAAGGCCTTTAGAGTTTGGCTTCCCCAGAGAAGCCCAGAAGTGTATGATAAAGAAGCTTGCTCCTAGTGGTGTAGAATACATACTTGCCCCCAAGAAGCTATACTCTGCCACAAAATCACAAGAACAGGCAAGGATGTTGATTCTCATCAACACGCACATGGTGTAAGATGCTTGGTACCTTATCATTGTTATAGCTCTGGGCCCATGATGAGTCATTATGGTTGTGCATTCACAGACATGCCTTTGTAGCTGAACAAGTTAAAAGCAGGTGGCTCATGCCTGTAATCTCTGCACTTTGGGAGGCCAAGGTGGGTGGATCACTTGAGGTCAGGGTTTGAGACCAGCCTGGCTAATATGGTAAAACCCTGTCTCTACTAAAAATACAAAATATTAGCCGGGAGTGGTGGCAGGTGCCTGTAATCCCAGCTACTTGGGAGGCTGAGGCAGGAGAATGGCTTGAACCCTGGAGGCGGAGGTTGCAGTGAGCTGAGATGGCGCCACTGCGCTCCAGCCTGCGCGACAGAGTGAGATTCCGTCTCAAAAAAAAAAAAAAAATTAAAGAAAGGATGTTTGCCCATCTGAAGCAAAGTATTGACTGGACTTATCTAAATACCGGATTACAAGAAAAAGAGGAACTGGCTATATCAGAGTGAGAGAAAGTGGGAGAGGTTGAGGAAACATACAAGAACCTAAAAGAAAGGGCAATAAGTATGAGCATAGCTTTGCTAATCTCGGAAATGGTGGCCAGAACTGTCCTGTGGTTTAGCAAATGATCATAGCCAGCAAATCCTAATTACCCTAGAAGCTTCCTTTAGAAGTGCCACAAAGATGTAGGAGGTATGCTTATCCGCCTTGTGACACAAAAATGGAAGCATAGTTAATAGATGAGAAAAGCATGACCCAGAATGATTTTCAATATTGGAATGCTGGGAATTTATGAGAGGTATTTTCGCGTAAGAATAATAGGACTTGTTTAAAAGGATTGGAGAGTGGGGGGCATCCCAGATGCGTGAGAAGCAGTATAGCTAATGGTTAGAAGCAGGTTTGCTGGAGCCAGGCTGCCTGGGTTCAAAGCCCACCTCTGCTGCCTGTTAGCTTGTCAGCTGCACAACCACGGGGTGCTTTCGAGCCTTGTGTGCCTTTGTTTCCCCATGCACTTCATGAGGCTGTTGCAGAAATTAAACGAGTTAATATATAGTCAGCAGCTCTGAACACTGCTTGACTGAGTCAGCCCTACCTAACGTTTAATTTAAGGGATGTGGCCCTGGGTTCCCAAAGGGAGCGGCCACTCTATTCACAAACATAAAAGCAGTAAAGGCTCCATCCTCATCAACCTTCTCCTCAGTTGGACCCCACAGGACTGTCTCTCGCAACTGTTCCCTGGGCTCTCCTAAGGCACTGCGCGGAACCAGCTGCACCTCTTTTGCCTTAGATCAGGCTTTCCCTTCTCCGCCCGTTTTGGGATTTAACAAGCACGAGAAAGCAGGGCTGCAGGGAAGCCGCGAGGGCCTCCTCACCACGGCCCGGGATCAAGTCCCACGCGCGAGGCCGGGGTAGGGGCGTCATCTGCTCCACACCCAGAGGCTGGGCACGCCCCGCACGCGCGGCTTCCTCCTCCTTTGCGGGGCTCGCCGCGACCCAGGACCCCCAGACTCCCGGATCCCCTAGACCCTCTGGACTCCTAAGCCCCGCAACTCCCAAATCCCAAGACCCCGGACCCTCCAACCCTGGCCCAGGGCGCGTGGCTGGGGGCCTGAACCCGCTCCAGAAACCCGCAGGGCAGTCTGTCGGAAACCCCCGCTTTACTCAGCAGGAATTTAGTCTCCGCGCTCCCCCTAAAACCCGGGCGTCCTCTCCTCTGTACCCTCGCTCCTGAGGCCCTCACACGCCCTCCGTGGCTGACCTCCAAGCCGGGCGGGTGCGCTGTGCGACGCGGAAAGCGCCGTAGAGCACGCAGAACACGATTGGCTGAGCTCCCGGAAGTGACGTACCTCAACCGCCCGACAGTGGAAGTCCCACCTGCGCCCGACGGCGGAAGTTCCGGGAGTGCCAAGTACCCGCGTGCATACGGCTGCCGGCATGGCACATTACAACTTCAAGAAAATTACGGTGGTGCCGTCCGCCAAGGTAGGCGGCCCCGGGAGGGCCACTGCAACTTTCGCGTTCTCCTCAGCTGGGTCCCCGGGGAGGGTCCGGGCCTGTAGCCGTGGGAGAGCGGTCGCCTTCCGCTCGCCCATCCCCCGCTCCTGGGCCTGACCGTCTGGCCGCGTACTCGGGATCATTTCCCCTCCCCCAGCAGAATCCGGGGTCCACCAGAGATCGGATCCCCCAGAGACCGGGGTCCACCTAAGACCGTGGTCCACCCAAAGACTGAGGGCCCCCAGAGATGGGGGTACACCCAGAGTTGGGTTCCCTGGAGGGGCCCCGGGTGACGATGTGGGCGAGTGGAGGGGGACCCCGACATGTGAGGGAGGAAGCGTTCCGTGGTCCGTGATGAGCCTTCGGATTCTGGGTTTGGCGTAGCCCCCTCCCCTCTCAGGAATCCTGGGTTCGTTGTTCTCGTGATTTAACGTTTCATAATTTTTAAGTCATTCTCTTTCACTGTTAGATTTGGGAATACCTGTTCCTTTTCAGACCATAGTAGGCCCAGACTAAATTTTTACAGCGTTGGTTGGTGTGGCAAGAATGAGTCAACAAGTGTTGAGTATTAGGACTTTTTTTTTTTTTTTTTTTTTTTGAGACATAGTTTTTCGCTCTTGTTTCCCAGGCTGGAGCGCAGTCTCGGCTCACTGCAACCTCCACCTCCCGCGTTCAAGCGATTCTCCTGCTTCAGCCTCCCGAGTAACAGGGATTACAGTCGTGCACCACCACACCCAGCTAATTTTCGTATTTTTAGTAGAGACGGGGTTTCACCACGTTGGCCAAGCTGGCCTCGAACTCCTGATCCCGGGTGATCCTCCCGCCCCGGCCTCCCAAAGTGCTGGAATTACAGGCGTGAGCCACTGCGCCCGGCCCTAGTATTAGGACTTTTAAGAAGTCACGTTTTTATGTAGTGAACATTCGATTTGGGTCGCAATTACACAGACATTGACGGGCAACTGGAGCCTCCCAGGGACTCCTGCACGAGAGGGAGTTACTGAAGTCCCTGCAGAGTGACTGTTTTCCCCTCGTCAGTGCCTCCTTTTCTTCAGGTCTCAAGGACGGGATGAGCTTGCCTTGGAAAGCTTTGTGGGAGTCTCGTATTTTACCTTCATAGCAAAAGTTGTTTCCCCACTTCTCTCCACCATTTCTTATTTCTTCCTGACAGTTGTTCTGGCACATCTCTTGATCGATTGTAGTATTTTCTTTCTTTCTTTTTGAGATGGAGTCTCGCTCTGTTGGCCAGGTTGGAGCGCAGTGGTGTGATCCTGACTGCAGCCACCGCCTCCCAGGTTCAAGTGATTTTCCTGCCTCAGCCTCCCGAGTAGCTGGGACTACAGGCATGCGCCACCAGGCCTGGCTAATTTTTGTATTTTCAGTAGAAGTGGAGTTTCACCATGTTGGCCAGACTGGTCTTGAACTCCTAATCTCAAGTGATTCACTTGCCTCAGCCTCCCAAAGTGTTAGGATTACAGGCATGAGCTACTGTGCCCAGCCAGATTGTAGTATTTTCGAGTGCAGGAGTCATGTCTTATTTGTATTTTTGGTCAACCATCTCTCAGGTTTGTTGAAGGAATTTGCTCTTTGGATTATATGAACTTTGTTCATGTTATTGACTTATGTGGAGAACTTTAGAATATATTATACACCATCCGTCTTCTGTTCTGTGGAGTGAGATTTATATTTTTAGAGAACAGATGACTTATCTAAAAACTGGGTGATGGTAATTGTTTGGTGATTGGAAGTAAAAAAAAAAAATCACATCGGGAAAGTGTGGTATTCAGTTCATTCTAGAAGATGTTGAGTGAGTGCCTGTCCTGTGCATCGGGTACTGTGTTACAAAAATGCATTAGATAAAATACCTGCCTCTTTGGAAGTCATTTTCAAGAGAGGTAAGTCGAGGCCGGGTGCGGTGGCTCTCGCCTGTAATCCCAGCACTTTGGGAGGCTGAGGCGGGCAAATCACGAGGTCAGGAGATCGAGACCATCCTGGCTAACACGGTGAAACCCCGTCTCTACTAAAAATACAGAAAAATTAGCCAGGCGTGGTGGCGGGCGCCTGTAGTCCCAGCTGCTGGGGAGGCTGAGGCAGGAGAATGGTGTGAACTGAACCCAGGAGGCAGAGCTTGCAGTGAACCGAGATCGCGCCACTGCACTCCAGCCTGGGCAACAGAGCAAGACTCCATCTCAAAAAAAAAAAAAAAAAAAAGTGGGGTAAGTCATATCTCGTATGACCATACTAGAAATAAAACATTGTTATCATGGAGGACACACATGGATTGGGAGAGGAGAAGAGTGTGGTTAGCTGTGGTAAGTTGGAGAGTCAGGGGGAACCTTATGAAGTAGGTAACCTTTGACTTGGTCCCCCTTCAGGATGTGCGAACGGCATTAGGTGCAGAAGAACGTAGAGAAGATCTTGTGTGGGCCCAGAGGGGAGACCGTGTGTGCCCCTCATAGTACTTGGCAGACTGTTGTGACCACCCGTTTACTTGTCTCACTTGTAGGCCCAGAGGGGAGACAGTGTGTGCCCCTTATAGTACTTGGCAGACTGTTGTGACCACCCATTTACTTGTCTCACTTGTAGGCCCAGAGGGGAGACTGGGCGTGCCCCTCATAGTACAATACTTGGCAGACTGTGTTGTGCCCACCTGTTTACTTCTGTCACTGGACCCTGAATTCCGTGAAGGAAGGGACAGTATCTTGTTCATTATCCTCAGCACCCAAGTATCCCTAACAACCTTTGTATGAAATAATATTGAGTTAATCAAATTGTTGAATTAATCAAAGTGTTCAAGAAAAAAGGTCAAGTAATATTGTGTGGCTAGATACATTGGATTTAGGAATCCTGGGGATCGGATCCTTATTAAAGAGAAGTGCTGACTCTTTGCACTGGGTAACTCATGCAAAAATCCTTCATCTCCTCAAATAGTTCCCTTCCATCTCTTTGGAAATTATAAACAGTGGATTTTAGTTTTACCTGTTATTTTATGTACTTTCAAAGTCAAGGGTATGCATAAACAAATGGGAGGATTGTTTCTTTTTCTCAACTATTCTAATTTATGGTTTGAATTCTCTGATTATTTAAGTTTCAAAGGTTCTTAGGTGTTTGGAAATTAAGATAGCATCAAGAAAGTATGGTGTAAAATTTATCTTTTTTTTTTTTTTTTTTTTTTTTGAGACGGAGTCTCGCTCTGTCGCCCAGGCTGGAGTGCAGTGGCGCGATCTCGGCTCACTGCAAGCTCCGCCTCCCGGGTTCACGCCATTCTCCTGCCTCAGCCTCCCGAGTAGCTGGGACTACAGGTGCCCGCTACCACGCCCGGCTAATTTTTTGTATTTTTAGTAGAGACGGGGTTTCACCGTGTTAGCCAGGATGGTCTCGATCTCCTGACCTCGTGATCCGCCCGCCTCAGCCTCCCAAAGTGCTGGGATTACAGGCGTGAGCCACCGCGCCCGGCCGGTGTAAAATTTATCTTAGCCATGTGTTTCAAGATGAACAAGGTTGTACATGAAACGTTTAGTAAATTTTTGTAATTTAAAATATGTAGTACTGTAAGATATTAGTGTTTTAAGAAGGTTTCAGGGCCGGGCGTGGTGGCTCACACCTGTAATCCCAGCACTTTGGGAGGCCGAGGCAGGTGGATCACGAGGTCAGGATATCAAGACCATCCTGGCTAACATGGTGAAACCCCATCTCTACTAAAAATGCAAAAAATTAGCCGGGTGTGGTGGCACGCGCCTGTAGTCCCAGCTACTCTGGAGGCTGAGGCAGGATAATGGCATGAACCTGGGAGGCGGAGCTTGCAGTGAGCCGAGATCGTGCCACTGCACTCCAGCCTGGGCGACAGAGCGAGACTCTGTCTCAAAAAAAAAAAAAAAAAGGAAGGTTTCAAATAAATGGCTCAAAAGTAGACCCTTTTGATGTAATTATGTTTTATTTTCTTTAATTGCAGGACTTCATAGACCTCACGTTGTCGAAGACTCAACGAAAGACTCCAACCGTTATTCATAAACATTACCAAATACATCGCATTAGACATTTTTACATGAGAAAAGTCAAATTTACTCAACAGAATTACCATGATAGACTTTCACAAATTCTAACAGATTTCCCCAAATTGGATGTAAGTGACTTAGGGGACTTCTGTGGTTATGTAAATACGGGCTTTCAGAGAACCAGTGTTTAACCAGTTTGGTGTACTCATTTGACAGAAAAGGAAACAAAATAATTGACTTAGGTTACTCAGTAAGTTAGTGGCAAAGAACTAATTTGTTGAATTTATAAAAGTGAGAACAGAATTTGGGTTTTTTGATTCCCTAGTATTCTTTCTTTCCTCCAACCAAAACCCATCTAAGGAGGCCCCAAGCTGTCTTCTCAGGCTTTCTGTGTAAACCCTGGGCTTGCAGGTGCCAACCCAAGTGTTAATGATAGCTGTGGGTTATGAACACAGAAGCTAGCAGCTCACTGGTTGTCTGGGCTTTATCTCTTCCACCTTCTTTCCAAGGGTTTTTTTTTTCCTCTGGGCTCAGCTTGGGTCAGTGGTGTAAGATCCACCACTGTTTGTGATCTTGTTGCTTCATCAGCTGATGACAGTCAGTTCAGCACTGACTGTTTTCTTCTTTGGCAAGGAGAGATCACATGGGAGCTATGACTTTTGAATGAAGCCAGAAACCTTGAGCTCCTTTCTCTGCTGCACATTGCAGTTTGCCTGTTTCTTTTTTTCTCTTTTTTTTGGAGACTGAGTCTCACTCTGTTGCCCAGGCTGGAGTGCAGTGGCGTGATCTCAGCCCGCTGAAATCTCTACCTCCTGGATTCAAGCAATTCTTGTGCTTCAGCCTCCCGCGTAGCTGGGATTACAGGTGCATAACCACGCCTAATTTTTGTATTTTTAGTAGAAATGGGGTTTCACCATGTTGGCCAGGCTGGTCTTGAACTCCTGACCTCAAATGATCTACCTGCCTCAGCCTCCCAAAGTGCTGGGATTACAGGCGTGAGCCACCACGCCTGGCCTGCCTGTTTCTTTAGCTGTAGAAAAGCAAGAGCAGAAACTGCCTGGCAAACTAACAAAGCCTTATGACACCATGTGTGGGGTAATGTGGTTGCAAGGTTAATTGAGGTTGTGAAGGGCGTGGGGATCAGCAGTATAGTCTCAAAGCCTAAATCTGCCGTTGCCCCAGAATAGTCCCTGAAGGCAGGTGTAGGCAGAGAGAAATGTTTGGCTTCTGTGACAGTACTTCATATTTAAACAAGTTATAATGGCTTTTTTTTTTTAAGCCAGAGTATCACAATCTCAGCTCCCTGCAACCTCCACCTCCCAGGTTCAAGCGATTCTCCTGCCTCAGCCTCCCAAGTAGCTGGGATTACAGGTGCCCGCCACCACGCCCGGCTAGTTTTGTATTTTTAGTAGAGACAGGGTTTCACCATGTTGGCCAGGCTTGTCTCGAACTCCTGACCTCAGGTGATCCGCCTGCCTTGGCCTCCCAAAGTGCTGGGATTACAGGTGTGAGCCACTGCACCTGTCCAATAATGGCTTATTTTTAAAATACAGAAGTGCTTAAAATACAAAAATTCTTGCTAGAGGACGGACACTTAGGTTGTGTCTAGCTAGGATTTGACACAGTTGCTCAGTAGATGTTTGTTGAATGAGTGAATGGTTTCTTGGGAAAGGTCAGGTACTAGAGAGTACCTGGGGGTGAAGAAAGTGATTTAAGAATGAGATTTTTGTTTGTTTGTTTGTTTGTTTGTTTGTTTTGAGACAGTCTTGCTCTGTTGCCCAGGCTGGAGTAAAATGGCGTGATCTCAGCTCACTGTAACCTCTTCCTCCCAGGTTCAAGCGATTCTCCCACCTCAGCCTCCCGAGTAGCTGGGATTACAGGCATGTGCGACTATACCCGGCTAATTTTTGTGTTTTTTTAGTAGAGACGAGGTTTCTCCATGTTGGCCAGGCTGGTCTCGAACTCCTGACCTCAGGTGATCCGCCTGCCTTGGCCTCCCAAAGTGCTGGGATTACAGACATAAGCCACAGTGCCTGGCCAAGAATGAGATTATTCTTAACTGATTTGATATTAGGAAATATTTGATTTTAGCCAACAACATACTTTGATCTACTTAGTATCAGATTTTTGTGGTTCTTTTTAAGAAGTTTTGTCTTTTTCATCCTCAGTGTTATAGCCATCAGAGGTAGGAGAGTTCAAATGTATTAACATTCTATTACTCTTTTTAAAGCCAGGACTAGTTATCTGAGAACAGCTTCAGAGTGGAGGGTTAGATATTAAGTTGTCATTCACTGAATGCTTATTGTCTGTCAGGTACTGTTCTGAGTCCTAGGAATCCAGAAGTGGTAAAGGTTCCTGCTCTCATTCTGGTGGAGAAAAGATAGTAAATAGCATGTCAGATGAATGCAGTGAAGCCATGGAAGGGAGTAGGGAGTATCTGTGCGGGGAGAGGGTGTCAGGCCTGTAGTCAAAGAAGCAGCAGGTGCAGGAGACCCAGGAGGTGGGGCAGGCTAGGGAGGTGAACACTGGGACATGGGATTGGAGGTGGTAGTCAAGGGTCGAGTTTATATGCACTGGTGAGATATCTCAGGAGATGCTGGCCTGGTGATTTAAAATGCATTAGTAAAATGTAGACGACATTTAAATCTATCTGAGATCACCTTGGAAGGGAATGTAGGAAGAAGGGTGCTGTGGGGAGCATGAATGTTTGGGGTAGAGCTGTGAGCACTAGCCAGCACAGGACTTAGAGGGGTCAGACTCTCCACCTAGAAGCTGTGAGGAAAATACCGCAGGCAGGATGCATGGCCAGCCCGCAGCGTTTCAAGAGGTCTGTGAGATAAAAACTGAGAATTGGTCATTGGGAGGTCCTTGGTGAGCTTGTAGGCTGTTTAGATGGAGTGGTGGACACAGAATTCTGGAGAGAGTGGGTTCAAGAGAGGGAGGAGAGGAGAGACACAGTGTGTCTTGGGAGCAAAGAGAGGGAATTGGAAGGATTTTGGGGCTATGGGAATTTTTGATTTTTTTTCCTAAAGATTGAGAAATAACAGCAAATTTTTAGGCTGATGGGAATAGTCAGGTGGAGGGAAGAATTTCTAGTGCTGAGTTCCTGAGCAACAGGAAGGGTACATGCAGGGTCGGGGGCTGGTCATTGCTGGGTCCCACAGCTCTACCACTGCACTGAGAGCGAGGTGGGTGGGAGCCGTGACTGTCGGCACCCGCATCCCTTCTGATGCCTGTTTTCTCAGAGGACTAAATAGACAGGGCCCCTGGCCAGGAGAGGGAACTGGGGAGGAGACACTGCAGGCGTGGAGGGAGAGGGAAAGAAATTGTTCTTCAAGTGGTAGGGATGAAAAACTGCTGGCCCCAAGTGACCGTGGTGTGCTTTTGTTTGTTACAGGATATTCATCCGTTCTATGCTGATTTGATGAATATTCTCTACGACAAGGATCATTACAAGTTGGCTCTGGGGCAAATAAATATTGCCAAAAATTTAGTGGACAAGTAAGGTACTTTTTTCTGTAGTGTCTTTTAAGTTATCGAAAGTGGAAAAAATAATATTTTTTATTTTTTACAGTGTTGCTAAAGATTATGTGCGACTGATGAAGTATGGCGACTCTCTCTACCGCTGCAAACAGCTGAAGCGTGCGGCCCTGGGACGGATGTGCACAGTGATCAAGAGGCAGAAGCAGAGTTTGGAGTATTTGGAGCAAGGTGCTTGTCACGCATCCGCGGGAACCGTGCTAGCATCCTGCTGAGAGGATGCGTCCTTGTTGAGGACTTGAGATGTCTGTTTTTCTTGTATTTTGGAGATGACAGGGTCAGTTATTCTTCCTAGCTTTACCTATGAGAAACAGTAATAGGCTGGTTTTTATTGAAAATAAATACTTACAAATCAATAGCACTGATAAGAAAATTTATATATTTCATATTTAATAGGTAAGGCATACACAAAAAAGTCACGAGAAAATACTGAAAAGTATAAAAACTAAGGTGGCTCATAGTTTATTATTGACTTTTTTATTTTTAAAAACACTTGTATTTAATAGGACTTTCTGAATTAATGTACTAGGATTCTGTTGAAACAATTACTTGCTTATTGTGTGTATTCTTACATGACAAATTATTTTGACTCATTCGGTTTTGTTTTCTCTCCTGCATCTTAGAAATAATTTTTAACAAAATTTGTGATACTTGGATGCCTTGCAGGTGCTTTGCTACAGATCTGTGTGGTCTTCATGATGGCCGGGGTGCCACCCTGGAGCCGTGTTTGTTACAGACGAGGTGGCAGAGTGGCAGTAACCCATGTTGTAGCCCAAACGGCATGGCCTGCAGGCTTCAAAGTGCACTGGTTCCCTAATGTCATCTTGCTAATGAGAATTGTCTGGACACTGCCAGACATGCTGTTGGCCCCACCTGTCACCTAATGAATTAAAACGTGGGCTTAGAAGGGCTGAGGAATATGATTCTTACCAGAGCCAAACTTGGGAGATAGCAATTGAATATACTATGTGTATACTATTACTTTCTGCAACTATTTTCTCCATCACTTTTGCATTACAAAAGTTGGAGTAAGATGAATATCACCATAGGCCTGGACTGTAACTAAGTTGAAAAGAAAATTTAAAGCAAATCTTAAACTTTGAATTTCTTAATTTTTCAATTTGAACTTTTCCTAGTGCGTCAGCATTTATCCCGTTTGCCAACCATTGATCCGAATACCAGGACCCTGCTTTTGTGTGGGTACCCAAATGTTGGGAAGTCCAGCTTCATCAACAAGGTTGGTCTGGTTTTTATCGTAAAGCAAATCATCTGACTATTTTACGTCAGTGTTACTGTATTCTGGCGGCGTGGGATTCAGGATGGCCTTGTAGGTCAGTGTTAACTGTATTCTGACTGCGTGGGATTCAGGACGGCCTTGGTAATAATTTCGGCCTCCGAGTTGGTCCTTGAGTAAAACACTGCCCTGGTCTGCAGGAGTTCCCGGTGCCTGAGCACGCCGAGCTCCTCTTGGTGAGGATTTACTTTGTCTGTATCTACATTTATATTACTATTACAGAAGCCATTACTTTTTGTTCTTGTGTGTGTCCTATAATTTCTAAGGAATTTGAGACATGTAAGTGCATTTTTGTTGACAACTGGGGAGGTTTTCTTGGGTGTTGTTGGCCTGTCCTGGAGTGGCTATGCCAGCGGGGCTCCGGTGGCAGGTGACACTCACCCAGCTGGGGTCTTCCCGTCTGCAGCTGCATCTGAGTGATCTGTTACCTTGGTTGCTGTGTCAGCTTTCACATGAAATCGTATGTGGTCTAGTAGAGGGACGGTGCCGAGTCGCTCTTTCCCTGGGTGAGCTCACTGACTAGGATAAGTGTAACATTTAAGGGACTCGGTCATTTGTTGCTTCAGGAAAGTTTGGCTGAGTTTCAGGGACTCAGGAAGAGGCAAAGCAACATTTAAAATGTGAATTTACAACCAGCAACAGCTCATGTGCCAAGAAAATGGTCAAATTTTATGGCTTACTCAGTGCCAAGATCACTTTATTTTTAATTAAAAAAATTTTTTTCTTTCTTTTTGTTGAAACTTTTTCTTTTTGAGACAGGGTCTCGCTCTGTTGCCCAGGCTGAAGTGCAGTGGTGCAGACATGGCTCGCTGCAGCCTCAACCTTCCGGGCCCAAACAGTCCTCCCACCTCAGCCACCCAAGTAGCTGGGACCACAGGTGCACGCCACCGCACCTGTTTAATTTTTTTATTTTTTGTGGAGATGGAGTCTCACTGTGTTCCCCAGGCTGATCTCAAACTCCCGAGCTCAAGCCATCCTCCTGCCTCAGCCTCCTGAAGTGCTGGGATTACAGGCATGAATCACTCCACCCTACCTTAAGATCACTTTTGCTTTGAAATAGATTTGTGAGTTTTATTTTGTCTACAGGTTGCTGTGACATGGTGACCAGCAAAGCTCTGCAGGGTCCTTGCTGATTTTTCAAATGCTTGTCAGCTCTGAACCTGCCCTGAGCTCTGAGCCAGTGCTCTGTGGCCGATTTGGTGGCCACTGCACTGGGTGGCTTTTTAAATTGCAGTTTAATTCAGCAAAATGAAAATTTCAACTCCTCAGTCACATGAGCCACATACTGAAAGTTCATTAGCAGTGCATGACTGGTGGCCCGGTTTGGACAGTGCAGACAGAACATGCCTGTCATCATAAAGAGCTCTGCGGGCATTGCAGGCGGTGGGGCAGGACTTGGGAGGGTGAGGGGAGGTGGTGGCTGTCCTCCAAATGCCAGCCCTCACGCTGTCCTAGTACCCCAGTCCTTGGCCTGGTGGTGCAAAGGGAGAGGTACCAGGCTCCTATTCGATGCAGTTTTATCGTGTGAGGTTTCTTCTATGGTTATTTCCTACCCAAAATCAGTCTTGTTAAAACACACAGATCCCACGTGTACACAGAGGAAATGAGGTGATTCTGAAAGTTCTCACTTGTTCCAGGTGACGAGAGCAGACGTGGATGTCCAGCCCTATGCGTTCACAACCAAGTCTCTGTTTGTTGGGCACATGGATTATAAGTATCTACGTTGGCAGGTGAGAGTCTTGTCTTTATTTTTATTCATTTATTTATTTTGAGTTGGAGTTTCACTCTTGTTGCCCAGGCTGGAGTGCAGTGGCATGATCTCAGTCCACTGCAACCTTCACCTCCCAGGTTCAAGTGATTCTCCTGCCTCAGCCTTTCGAGTAGCAGGGATTACAGGTGCACACCACCACGACCGGCCAATTTTTGTGTTTTTTTAGTAGAGAGGGGGTTTCACCATGTTGGCCAGGCTGGTCTTGAACTCCTGACTTCAGGTGATCTGCCCGCCTTGGCCTCCCAAAGTGCTAGGATTACAGGTGTGAGTCACACTGCACCTGGCAAGAGTCTTGTCTTTAAACAGAACAAATATCTTGGTTTATCAAGAACTTGAAATTTCTCCATCATCATAAAGAAAACTCATCTGAGCTCTTGGGATGCATAAGAACAGGTCGCATGTCTCTGATATAATTCAGGGGAGGCAGCCAGCTGCCAGTGTGGATTTCTGCATTTTCTTAACATAAAATGAAATTATCTTTGTGTCATTTCTAACTCTGTTATCAGAAATGGCATATATACAGTTTAAAAGCGTGAAGCAGGCTGGGCACAGTGATTCACGCCTGTAATCCCAACACTTTGGGAGGCCAAGGCAGGCAGCTAACCTGAGGTCAGAAGTTCGAGATTGGCCTGGCCAACATGGCGAAACCCCATCTCTACTAAAAATACAAAAATTAGCTGGACGTGGTGGTGGGTGCCTGTAATCCCAGCTACTTGGAAGGCTGAGGCTGGAGAATCGCTTGAACCCAGAAGACAGGGGTTGCAGTGAGCCGAGATTGTGCCATTGCACTCCAGCCTGGGCGACAGGAGCGAAACTCTGTCTCAAAAAAAATAAATAAATACAAAGCAAGAAGCAATGTTTCCACACTCTAATTTTGTAAATTGTGAAGAAAGTAATTCCTAAGACATGGGAGGGTTCTCAGTTATCCCAGTTTTTGTGTTTTATGATGTCGCTGGTAAAAAGAGGAGTCATTTCTCTCAACATCATGGCTAGCATTTCTTTGAGCTCTACAGGGTTCCTCCTCCCTTTTTTGATGTTTAAATAGTATGTACTTTTCTGTCACTGGTTTATTTTGTGGTATTCAGTTTGGGAGACCTACTTTTTTTTTTTTTTTTTTTTTTTTGAGATGGAGTCTCTGTCACCCAGGCTGGAGTGCAGTGTCGCTATCTTGGCTCACTGCAAGCTCCGCCTCCCTGGTTCACGCCATTCTCCTACCTCAGCCTCCCGAGTAGCTGGGACTACAGGTGCCCGCCACCACGCCCAGCTAATTTTTTGTACTTTTAGTAGAGATGGGGTTTTGCCGTGTGAGCCAGGATGGTCTCGATCTCCTGACCTCGTGATCCACCCGCCTCGGCCTCCCAGAGTGCTGGGATTACAGGTGTGAGCCACCGCACCCAGCCCTACTTTTTTTTTTTTTTAACTACAATTCTGCTGTAAGATTATTAGGTCTGGTTGGGTGTGTGTGAGTGACTTCTGGGATGTGCTGGACAAGAAGCTTGTGGGTGAGTGTGCTTTCAGTGACAAGGTCTGGCTGTGTTAGGTTGTAGACACTCCTGGGATCCTGGACCACCCTCTGGAGGATAGGAACACCATCGAGATGCAGGCCATCACTGCCCTGGCCCACCTCCGTGCTGCGGTCCTGTATGTGATGGATTTGTCTGAGCAGTGTGGGCATGGGCTGAGGGAGCAGCTAGAACTCTTCCAGAACATCAGACCTCTCTTCATCAACAAGGTGTGTGTGGTCACTCATGTTTTGCTTCATATCCTGCAGTACGAGAATAATGATTTCATTATTTTTCTTCCTTGCCTAGCCTCTCATAGTTGTAGCCAACAAATGTGATGTGAAGAGAATAGCTGAACTTTCTGAAGATGATCAGGTAAATCACGTTAATATTTTGAATATTTCTTACTTACCAATTCTGAATTCTCATCTCAGACAACCAAAGTTTAGATGAAGGAATTTTAGCAATACTAGTCCACAATTGTATTTTATAGTTGAGATAATATCCTCAGTGGTTTAGTGAAAAGACATAATAAAAACTTAGTTATTGGCAAACTAAAACGAAAACATAAGTTTCTGGATTCTTTGTTCTTGAGTGTGTGGAAGCATCTGTATTTGATGGGTTGGACTTTTGGAAAATGTGATTACTTAGGAGAGAACTGTTGGAGAAGGGTGCTCACAGGTGTTACTTCATAAAACAGGTTCTGTGATTAAATGAGTTTGGAGACTAATGATTGAGTGAAGGAGAAGGAGGATCTTGGAATTTGGGCTTTCTGGATCTGGATCTATGAGTGAGACGTGCCTGCTAGCTTTCTCCAAGAGGCAGGCAGTATTGTTGGACATAATTTTTCAAACTGATTGAATCCTACAACCTTTTTAATAGGCATCCTTCATGATAAATGCTTTTAGAAGCGTGCACTGGTGGAGTGGCTTTCAAATTGTGGTCCTGGCCCAGCAATGTCAGCATCACCTTCTTAATTTCTTCCTTAATTTCCTCATTGATCCATTGGTCATTCTGGGACATGTTTATAATTCTCATGGGTGGTTTTTTTTTTTTTTTTTACAGTTTTGAAAGTATCTCTTGGTATTGATTTCTAGTTTTATTCCACTGTGGTCTGAAAAGATACTTGGCAATTTTTAAAAATTGATGAGATTTGTTTTGTGGCCTAACATATGGTCTATCCTGGAGAATGTTTCATGGACTGAGGAGAGGAATGTGTTTTATGCAGCGGTTGGATGACATGTTCTGTAGATGTTTGGTCTACAGTGCACTTTTTTTTTTATTTTATTTTTGTTTTTTTTTTGAGATGGAGTCTCGCTCTGTCACTGAGGCTGGAGTGCAGTGGCACGGTCTCGGCTCAGTGCAGCCTCCACCTCTGAGGTTCAAGTGATTCTCCTGCCTCAGCCTCCTGAGTAGCTGGGATTACAGGCGTGCGCCACCACACCGAGCTAATTTTTTGTATTTTTAGTAGAGAGGGTTTTACCATACCGGCCAGGCTGGTCTTGAATTTATGACCTCAAGTGATCCGCCCACCTTGGCCTCCCAGAGTGTTGGGATTATAGGCGTGAGCCACTGCGCCTGGCCTACAGTGCACTTTAAATCCAGTATTTGTTGATTCTTTTTTGCCTAGGATCTGTCTAATGTTGCGAGTCTGATGTTGATGTCCCCAAATATTATTGACCCCTTTTATTATTATATAATGACCTTCTTGTCTCTTTTTATTGTTTTTGACTTAAAATCTGCTTTATCTGATAGAAGTATAGCTATTCCTACTTGCTTTTAGTTTCCATCTGCGTAGAATATCTTTTTGCATCTCTTCATTTTCAGTCTATGTGTGTCTTAATGTCTTTACAGGTTAAGTGAATTTCTTGGATACTTTTTCATGTTTTCATGATAGTGATTATTGTCTTCGCTTCCAGATGTAGGACTTTCTTAAGTATATCTTGTAAGGCTGGTCTAGTAGTGACGAATTCTCTGTTTTTGCTTTTCTCGGAAAGAATTTATTTCTCCCTTATTTCTGAAGGATAGCTTTGCTGGATGTAATATAGTTGGCTGGCAGTCTTCTTTTTTTTCTTCAACACTTTGAATATATATCATCCCATTGTCTCCTGGCGTGCAAGGTTTCTGCAAAGAAATCTGCTGTTAGTCTAATGGGGATTTTCTTATATGTGACTTCAAGCTTTTCTCTAGCTGTTTTTAGAATTTCCTTTATATTTGACTTTTGACAGTTTGACTATAATGTGCCTTGGGGAAGACCTTTCTGGGCTGACTCTATTTGGGAATTCTTGAACTTCCTGGTTTTAGATGTCTATACCTCTCCCCAGTCTTGGAAAGTTTTCAGCTATCTCATTAAATAGGTTACTAAGCCTTTTCCCTTCTCTTCTCCTTCTTGAACTCCCATAATGCCAGCATGTATTCACTTAATGTTGTCCCATAAATCTTATAGGCTTCCTTCATTCTTTTTCGTTCTTCCTGCTTTTTTTCTCTCTGACTAGGTAGTTTCAAATGACAGAGATTTTTTTTCTGCTTCATCCAGTGTGCTGTTAAAACTGTCTATTGTATTATCTCATCCATTGAATTCTTCAGCTACAGGATTTCTGTTTGACTCTTTTTTACAATTTCTGTCTCAGTTTAAGTTCTTGTTCATATCATGAAATTGTTTTCTTGATTTTGTTGAATTATCTATCTGTATTTTGTTTCTCATTGAGTTTCCTTCAAAAAAATTATTATTTTGAATTCTCTTTCTGGCAATTCATTGATTTCCTTTTCATTAGAGTCTGTTCCTAGAGAGTTAATATTCCTTTCATGATTTCTTATTTCCTTGCTTTTTCATGTTTCTTGTGTCCCTGCATTGATGTCTCTGCATCTGGTAGAACAGGAGCCTCTTTTATACTTTCTTCTAGAGTGGCTTTCATGGAGAGGTTTTCACCTCACTTGGGTTTTACTGTGCCATTTGGGAAGAGAACCGTGACTTTCTGGATAGGAGCAGTGACATTGTTTCTGTGCAGCTTCCTCACCTCCATGAAATGTTGGCAATAACTGGGTGGCTCAGTGGCCTCAGCTCTGGAAGTTTGTGCCAGCGGTGGTGTATGTTTTTAAGGTCCTTGGTGTCAGGGGCTTTTGGGGTCCTGCTATTCTTGTTTTTCCCGCAATGGGGGACTTATCTGAGGGGATCTTTCTTGGTGTCAGGTCTGACATGGTCTGCAAGCAGCTGCCACAGTGCTGGGTTTCAGCTACAGGTACTCAGGGTAGCTGTGGGACTGGGGTCCTAGCCTTAGGGTCTTGTGTGCCTATCATGGCCTGGCCTTGGGGTGCAGGTTTACTCTCTGTGGTGGATCTCTGATCCTGAAGCACCCCTAGCAGCTTAAGCCCACAGGGCAAGGCTGTGGCTGTGGCTCCACCCGTGGGGTCAGGGCACAGTCCTGGCCTGACTCCAGGGAAGACGCACTCTGGAGGTTTGAGCCTGGGAAGCAGGGTAGAGCTGTACTTCAGAAACCTGAGCCAGTAGGGAGGGCTTAGTGTCAGCTCAAGGGGAACTCTGGACCCTGGGATGGTGGGGCCCAGCAGTATCCCAGACTCTCTGATGCTAGGTGAGGTGGCAGCAAGGACCCCAGAATGGACTAGTCCAGCTGTCATTTGGGCCCTAGAGGACAGGGAGGAGGACAGCAGTGACTCCATTTCCTGGAAAGAGTGGTGACTCTGCAGCTCAGAATATAGGGTTAGTCCAGCTCCAGGGAGCAGGTGCTGGAGCTGTTTGCGTGGTGGGGCAGGTGCCTCGGCTCAGCCCCTGCCCTGTTTCCCTGGGGTGTGGAGTACAATGTCAGCTCCTCCCCATGGTATGTGGCTGGTCAGCCTGGGCCTGAGGGTTGTGACTCTTCTGGGCGCCCCAGGCACCGTTGCCCTGGGATACAAGGTACCTCTTCAGCATAGACGCTGGGATATGTGACCATTCTGGGCATTTCCCAGGAAGCAGGGCACTGCTTCAGCTCAGGCAGCAGGGAGACAACGTTCCCTGAGAGGCCACGGTGCTATTTACCAGGAGGCAGGGTACCGTTGGGTGCTAGAGCAAGGGCTAGTAGAGGGGCTCCACCTCCACCAAGCCCTGCTGGGAAGGGGTAGCAGCTGCTCACAGCTGGCTTGGGGATGTTGGGCCACCAGGTTTGGGTAGTTTGGAGGCAGTTTAGCCTCAGGGATGAAGGGGAGCTGTGGCCACTTCCCCTGAGCAAGACATACTCCAGCCGCAGTTCCAGTCCCAAGATGATGGAGTATAGCCGCCCCATGGGCCCAACAGACAGGGCCCAGTGTCAGCTCCTTCTGTGTGGGAGCACAGCTGTGAGGATGCCAGGGGGCTCCGGTGGTGAGGGCTGTGGGTGTCCAGAGTGGTGGCAGGGCTGCTGCCATCCTCTTGCTTACCCCCTCACCGTAGGGAGAACCTCCTCCTGGGTCCCGTTGCATCCCAGCTGTAGGGTGGGTTGCTGGCGGCCCAGTGTGTTTTTTTTGGTTTGTTTGTTTGTTTGTTTGTTTTAAGACGGAGTCTCGCTCTGTCCCCCAGGCTGGAGTGCAGTGGCGTGATCTCTGCTCAATGCAAGCTCCACCTCCCAGGTTCACACCATTCTCCTGCCTCAGCCTCCCGAGTAGCTGGGACTACAGGCGGCCGCCACCACGCCTGGCTAATTTTTTATATTTTTAGCAGAGACAGGGTTTCACCATGTTAGCCAGGGTGACCTTGACCTCCTGACCTCATGATCCACCCGCCTCGGCCTCCCAAAGGCTGGGATTACAGGCATGAGCCACCGCGCCTGGCCCCTGGTGTTTTCTTTGGGCTGTATTTCATCGTCTTGCGTTTTTCTGCTCCCCAGGGTGCCTGTTACTCCTGTGATGCCCTCTGGAGCTCCCCCTCAGTTATTAACATGTAGTTGTTCGTTATTCTGATTGCCTTTGTTGTGGGGGACAGATGTGAGGGGCTACTAGTCGGCCATCTTTTTGATGTCATTTGTGTTTTCTTGATCATAGAAGAATATGAAGAAAATAACTGTTTTTAGGATATGTCTGTTTTTTAAGACTTTGAAACAACCACAGATGTTCACATTTGCAGCCTCCATTTGCAGAACTGTACAGTTTGTTCCATAGGGAACTGGAAATGAATAATACATCTCTCGTTTTTTCTTTGCATTCCCAGAAAATATTTACAGATTTGCAGTCTGAAGGATTCCCTGTAATAGAGACCAGCACCCTGACTGAGGAAGGTGTTATTAAAGTTAAAACAGAGGTCAGTGCTGCCTTAAGTCAGGTATTAGTCTTTTTACTGTCTCTTGTTTGATTCAAGTCAGTTGTGGGGAGAAAATAGTTTTCTTTCTAGACATTGTTAACACTTGGAGCCCTCGCAGTAGCGAGGCGGGTGGCGTGCGAGAGTGGGGCGTGAAGACAGACCCTTCTAAGACCCACTTTGCCCCCCGTGGACAGTGGGTTGTGAGGGGATGCTTTGCTCTTCTCACCCCAAACAACTTTACCCTAAAGCAGCTGTTGTCTCTGGCCTTTTAATATTTCGGTAGCAAGTACAGTGAAAATTATTTTTATGGAACCTGTTCGAAGTAGAAGGGAGAAAAGTCTGAAAAGCAGAACAGCTTTTGCAGGAGGCAGTCCGCTGCTGGATTTCACATGCTGTCCTAATTACTTTGTATTTCATGTTGTTTTTATCTCAAATAAAAGGACATTTCTGGCCAGGCGCAGTGGCTCACGCCTGTAATCCCAGCACTTTGGGAGGCTGAGGCGGGTAGATCACCCAAGGTCGGGAGTTCGAGACCAGCCTGGCCAACGTGGTGAAACTCCGTCTCTCCTAAAAATACAAAATTAGCCGGGCGTGGTAGCGCATGCTTGTAATCCCAGCTACTCGGGAGGCTGAGGCAGGAGAATCGTTTGAACCTGGGAGGCGGAGGTTGCTGTGAGCTGAGATCATGCCACTGCACTACAGCCTGGGCAGCAAGAGCGAGATACCATCTCAAAAAAAAAGATGGCACTCCTGATGCCATGGTCGCACTCAGGATTTAAAAAGATGGCACTCCTGATGCCATGGTCGCACTCAGGAATTTGTTGCTCGGTTAGAGTCCTGAGGGGCAACATTGCCTCCGGTTCGTGAAGGGCAGTTGGAGGGCACCGTCTGTGCAGAGGGTCACTGTGGTGGGAGAGAGGCCCAGGCACTGGAGATGCACCTTCCCTCAGGGCCGCTTCCACCTGGGCCTCAGAGAATGTGGCCCCCTACGTGTTAGTTACCTTGAGGGAAAAGGCTCAGTGGCTCTGATCTGTGGCTCCTCCTGGAACCTGTAGCTGGAGGCTGCTGGAGGATGCGTTTGTGACTGTGCCTTCTTTTTTACGTTATTAGGCTTGCGATAGGCTTTTGGCTCATCGAGTGGAAACCAAAATGAAGGGAAATAAAGTGAATGAGGTGCTGAATAGACTGCACCTGGCTATCCCAACCAGGAGGGACGATAAGGTAAGACGGCCCCTGGGACAGCCGTGGGCTCACAGTACTGTCAGCAGGTGCTGTCTGCGTGCCTTTTCCAGAAGCCTCCCATCCAGCTTCACACACTCGCAGGTGGATATTGTGGGTGGGCCTCAGTTTCACCTTCTTGCTTACATAAAGGATCGAGAAGGTGAAGAAAGTGCAGAACGCCACATGGCACCCGTTTCCCACTGCATGACGTGGTCACTGTTAGTTTATCCTTCCAGAAATGTTTCTGATATAGAAGATTAGTTTCTAAAAAGTTCTTTAAACACAGATGGAAATCTGTTTCATTCTTTAAATTTTCATTTTTTTGGCTGGGGGAAGTAGCTCACGCCTGTAATCCCAGCACTTTGGGAGGCCAAGGTGGGAAGATTGCTTAAGCCCAGGAGTTCTTGACCAGCCTGGGCAACATAGTGGGACCCTGTCTCTATAAAAAATAAATAAAATAAATTTTCATTGTTTTGTCCATTGTGAATGGGCACACATCGTTACGCTGTGTCTTCATGTTTTACTGCAAATGTGTCTGCACTTCACCATGTGGTGTTGACAACGTTCCTGTCCCACAGACGCCTTCCTGGTGTGTGCTGCACTGACGCTGGAGGCTGTGTCCTTCCCTCTGTCTTTCCTTGTGTCCTCGGCGTGGTCGGGCACTGACTGTCAGTCTTGTGTAAAGATGATTTTATTGTTGTGTGTTTATGTAATGCTGGGTGCGGTTGAGCATGTTTGTCTGCTTATTGGCCTTTTCAAAGTTCTTTAGGCTGTTTATCTTTTTCTCGCTGATTTGTTACTTTTGTATTACAAAGGTTGGATTCTTGTCAGATACATTGCAAATTTTTTTCTCTTTTTGTCACTTGCCTTTTTAACTTCAAATGTGCTGTACATTTTTGAACTATTAACATATATTAATTTTTTTTTCTGGGTGTTCAGGTTTGCATTGTACATAGAAAGGCTTACCATTCATTCCAAAGTCATTTTAAAAGTATCTTTTCTTGCTGGGTGCAGTGGCTCACGTCTGTAATCCCAGCACTCTGGGAGGCCGAGGCGGGTGGATCACCTGAGGTCAAGAGTCTGAGACCAGCCTGGCAATCATGGTGAAACCCCATCTCTGCTAAAACTACGAAAATTAGTCGGGCGCGCACCTATAATTCTACCTATTCAGGAGGCTGAGGCGGGAGAATCGTTTGAACCTGGGAGGTGGAGGTTGCAGTGAGCCGAGATCACTCCACTGTACTCCAGCCTGGGTGACAAGAGTGAGACTCTGTCAAAAAAAAAAAATTATCTTTTATACTAGCATTAAAAATTAGCTTTTTTGGATAGTCTTCACCGTGTCTTGAGTTGGTTATGTTGTGAGGGTGGAGGTTGCACTCCGTTTCAAGTGGTCGGCATTTCTGACCTGAGTATTGGAAATTTTATGTTTCCATTGAATTCTTATATGCACTTGAGTTTATGTCTAAATTTCTTTCATCTGTTGATCCAGTGTTATTTCTTACCACTTTCTTCTTCCATAATTTTTCATGATAATCATGATTTCTGTTTTTCCTGGATAAACTTTGGAATCACTTTGTGGAGTCCTCCTGGTCTCTGTGCTCAAAGTGACCCTGAACCCACTCCTCTCCCCTAAAATAATCTGTTGGTTGTTAATTGGTCTCGGTATGAACCCACTCCTCTCCCCTAAAATAATCTGTTGGTTGTTCATTGGTCTGGGTATGGTTTTCTGTTCCCCTTGCACGTAGGGAATTTGTTTCTACTTTTTCGGCTTTGTAAGTTTCTCATTCAGCAGGCATTTCACATAAATATTTTATATGGGATCTTCTCAGGAGAGGCCCCCTTTCATCCCTGAAGGAGTGGTGGCTCGCAGGAAGAGGATGGAAACTGAGGAGTCCAGGAAGAAGAGGGTATGCTGCCGAAGCTCTCGCCCAGTGTTCTCATGGGGGGAGGCAGGCTGTGTGTGCCCATCGTGGGGGCCTGGGGCATCGAACAGGAGCCGCGGGTGCCCAGACACTGGCCCCGTCAGGCTGCGGACACAGCAGTGAGTCCCCCTGCAGAAGCCTCTCTCATGGGGCTCTTTGGCCTGAGGGAAGATGGCCGTGAACCAAATGCATGAGTGGGATAGACAGTCCCCAGATGGCCAGAAACAGCCTCTTCCTACCAGAACCTAAAGGCCGGCCCCACAGACAGGGAGATAAGAAACAGCCTCTTCCTACCAGAACCCAAAGGCTGGCCCCGCAGACAGGGAGATAAGAAACAGCCTTCCTACCAGAAATGGAAGGTGAACCCCACTGATACTGAGAGGATTGGAGAAAAGATTGTTTCAAGTGACAAGGGGCAGAGCATTTCTGGATCTGAAAGGCAAAATGAAGCTGATGATAATTTCTCTTTCTATTGCAGGAACGAGATCTTGAGCTGGAAATGGGAGATGATTATATTTTGGATCTTCAGAGTAAGGGCCAGAGTGTGATCATTATTATAAAATGCCAATTGGACGTGAAGTATTTCAGAAAATGGGGGAAAGACTTTAATAAGTAATAAAAGTGTTTCAGCCTATTTGTCAACTTTTAATTTCTTGAAGATTAAAAGTTGCATCCTGAGGGCCAGGTGCAGTGGCTCACGCCTGTAATCACAGCACTTTGGATCCCTTATGCCCAGGAGTTTGAGACCAACCTGGGCAACATGGCAGAACCCCGTCTCTACAAAAAATACAAAGATTAGCCGGGTGTGGTGGCATGTGCCTGTAGTTCCAGTGACACGGGAGGCTGAGGTGGGAGGATCACTTGACCCTAGGAGGACAAGGCTGCAGTGGGCAGAAATTGTACCTCTGCCCTCCAGCCTGGACGACAGAGTGAGACTCTGTCTCAAAGAAAGGTGCATGCTGATAGCACTCAGTGGGGGTTCTTCCATTGTTTCCTGTTGTTTTGGGATGGTGGGGTGATTTCTGTAGCTTTCTCCACGTGTGGGTGTTGAATGAGGCTGATGTGTTGTTTCCTGTTGTTTTGGGATGGTGGGGTGATTTCTGTAGCTTTCTCCACGTGTGGGTGTTGAATGAGGCTGATGTGTTGTTTCCTGTTGTTTTGGGATGGTGGGGTGATTTCTGTAGCTTTCTCCACGTGTGGGTGTTGAATGAGGCTGATGTGTTGATGCTGCTGCATGTGGAATTGCACGTCGTGCTCTCTTCTGCAGTGGAGTCGTTGATTTGCCGTCAGTCACAACTCATTTTGCGCACGTAGTACTTGAAGATATTAAAAACTGCTGTAAACGTAACCACCTTTTTTTTAACTTTAGAGTACTGGGATTTAATGAATTTGTCTGAAAAACATGATAAGATACCAGAAATCTGGGAAGGCCATAATATAGCTGATTATATTGATCCAGCCATCATGAAGGTTTGTGTCACTTTTTAAATTGCGGATTGTTTTCCTTTTTATTATAGTAGTATTGCTGGAAGATAGCAGCATGGCTTCGGCTCAGCTGGGCCTGTCCGCTTCATTCTGCACCCCTCCATCCTGACTCTGCCCCCTGTACCACTTCCCCACCCTGAGACTCTGGTGGAGATACTGGCCCTGGCTGGGCTCTGCTATGCTGGCCTGCCCCCTTCCCGCCGCCTCCACCCACCCACCCCGGACACTCTGGTGGAGATGCTGGGCCCCTTCGTTATCCTGCACCCCTCCATCCTGACTCTGCCTCCTGCACCTCTTCCCTGTCCCGACACTGGTGGAGATGCTGGGCCCCTTCATTCTCCTGCATCCCTCCATCCTGACTCTGCCCCCTACACCACCTTCCCCACCCCGAGACTCTGGTGGAGATGCTGGGCCTCTTCATTCTCCTGCACCCCTCCATCCTGACTGTGCCTCCTGCACCACCTTCCCCCCCACCCTGTGTCTCCGCCAGGCCCTGGATGGGCTCTGCTGTGCTGGGCCCTTCATTCTCCTGCATCCCTCCATCCTGACTGTGCCTCCTGCACCTCTTCCCCCCACCCCGAGACTCTGGTGGAGATGCTGGGCCCCTTCATTCTCCTGCATCCCTCCATCCTGACTGTGCCCCCTGCACCACCTTCCCCACCCTGTATCTCCGCCAGGCCCTTAATGGACTCTGCTGTGCTGGACCCTCTTCCTTGGGGGCTCCGCTGTGTCACATCTTTTTCCTGCCTCAATCCCCTCCCTACTTGCTTTTTCTTAGCATATAAAAGTCCACAAGTTTTACTCATCTTTTTAAAAAACGAAAACATCCTTAGACCGTGTCCTCCATTAGTTGCTATCCTGCCTTCTTCTCTCAGCTGAGCTGTCTGAAACATGCTAACATGCTTATACAATACTTGCTGTCCTGCCTTCTGCTCTCAGCTGAGCTCTCTGGAACATGCTTTTTATACAATACTTGCTGTCCTGCCTTCTTCTCTCAGCTGAGCTCTCTGGAACATTCTTTTTATACAATACTTGCCATCTGCATGTCCCATGTTGCCACTCCTTGGTTCCCACAGGCCCTCCGTCATTGAGTTCACATTTTCAGTCTCGTGGTCTCTGTGCTCCCTGTGCCTCCATAGCAGATTCTGGGATAGCAGATTCTGGGGGCAACAATCTCAATTTCGTTGGTGCTGGAGGAGTGGCCTCAGGGCATCTGCTGTCACCTCTGCTGGGGCCCCAGTCCAGCCCGTGCCCTCACTGTCCCCGCGGTGGCCGCCTGCCTTCCCAGCCTCTTCCCCTCTGCAGTGCGCGCTCTTGGGCGCAAGAAGCCTTGAGACTTCCCTCCTCCGCACAGCTGTGCCCGTGCCATCCCCTTCCACGAGGCCTGGCCCCCGTCTCACCCTCTGCACTGCTGGCCAGCATCTCGTACAGGCACATCTGCCTGCTGGGCTCCTGGCCGGGTTGCCTCATTGGGGGGTGATAAACGTGTGTGTTTTAGTTTTCATTTTTGTCTTATTTGTAGCCAGTGAGGTTGTATTTGGGGTGACATTAGAACGGACACGTGGGATGTGGCACGAAATCAGTGTCTCAGGACTGAGTTCCTTGTGTGTGTCTGCCGGGAGCATTGGAAGTGAAGGAGGCGGTCTCTGCACATTTTTAGCCTTGGAATTTAATTGTTTTAAAAAAAGGAAATGGTGCACAGGGGTTACTGACTTGCTGGCGGCTGGCGTTCACGTGGTCTCCATTTTCTTCACAGAACCCTCCCTGTGAGGTAAATGGCACATAGGCAGGGCCCAGGTGGGTCTGGACCAGGGCAATCGCTCTCCTCTGAGTCAGGGAAACAAAGCTCCCATACACACTCTGCCACACTCACTGACTCAGGGGTTTTCTCATTGTTAATTTTGCTTCATTACAACTCCATTTTTAAAGAAATTGGAAGAATTAGAAAAAGAAGAAGAGCTGAGAACAGCTGCTGGAGAGTATGACAGTGTATCTGAGAGTGAAGACGAAGAGATGCTGGAAATCCGACAGCTGGCAAAGCAAATTCGAGAGAAAAAGAAGTTGAAAATTCTGGAGTCCAAAGAAAAGAATACACAGGGACCCAGGATGCCGCGAACTGCTAAGAAGGCAAGTTTGTGTCTTTCCAAAGCAGTGTGATCTAGTTTTTGAAAATTGGATTCCTGTGTGATCATTGCTAAATAACAACTTTTCAACCCATTTATGGCCATAAGATTGCACATTCTTGTTTTATTGGTGTATGGATTTGCAAGATCGCTCACGTATTGATCTTTTATATTCTTTACTGCGTCCTTTCTTGGTGACTTTCAGCTTCGAGTTTGGCACTACTCTAGATCCAGTCATTTTGCAGTTGTACAGATTAAAACTGTAACTTATGGTTCACAGACGTTCAAGGCTATCAGTGAACATTTTCCTCTTCTTTTTTCTCTCTCTCTTTTTTTTAGGGGGGAGATGGAGTCTTGCTGTGTCTCCCAGGCTGGAGTGCAATGGCGCCATCTTGGCTCACTGCAGCCTCCACCTCGCGGGTTCAAGCAATTCTCCTGCCTCAGCCTCCCGAGTAGCTGGGATTACAGGCACCTGCCACTACGCCTGGCTAACTTTTGTATTTTTAGTGGAGATGGGGTTTCACCATGTTGGCCAGGCTGGTCTCAAACTCCTTACCTCAAGTGATCTGCCTGCCTTGGCCTCCCAAAGTGCTGAGATTACAGGCGTGAGCCACCACGCCCGGCTGGTTTTCTTGTTCTTTAATTTCTGCATTAAATCTGGACTCTTTAGGCCGGGCGCAGTGGCTCACGCCTGTAATCTCAGCACTTTGGGAGGCTGAGGTGGGTGGATCACGAGGTCAGGAGATTGAGACCATCCTGGCTAAAACAGTGAAACCCCGTCTCTACTAAAAATGCAGAAAAATTAGCTGGGCGTGGTGGCGGGCGCCTGTAGTCCCAGCTACTCGGGAGGCTGGGGCAGGAAAATGGTGTGAACCCGGGAGGCAGAGCTTGCAGTGAGCCGAGATTGTGCCAGTGCACTCCAGCCTGGGCAACAGAGCAAGACTCCATCTCAAAAAATAAAAAATTTAAAAAAAAATCTGGACTCTTTAGCAATTTACAGAAACCTGACGCAGTCTACAAAAGGCAATTTATTGGCTCTGTGGCAGGGTGGGACTGGGGGAAGAAAGCCCACATGCAGGGCAGTTAACATGTAACCAGAGAAGTCACTTGACATTCAGGATGCCTCTCAGTGGGTCTTCCTGTTTGAATACACTGTTTTCACATGGTGGCAAGTGACTGGTTATGGCGGACTTGGACATTTTTGTACTTCTCCAGGTGGGGCTCAGCCATCTCTGGGAGGAGAGAGGTTGGCGCACTGCCTTTGTCTGAGGCCACCTCACTAACCTCAGCTTTAGTGTCTCACCTCTGATGGAGACGGTCACTCTCTCCCCCGTGTTGCGGTGAAGAATGGACAGACGTGGAGGATACGCTGATTCTTCCCACAGCAACTGCTCTGTTAATGTTAGTTTTCGTGGGATTTAATTGAGCTATCCAAAAACATGAAAGCGGGGCCCAATAAAAATTACAACTTCTAAAATAAGTATATTATAATTGTTGCAAAATATGTATACATATATATTGCCTTGAAGTTTTTTTCAACATTTCATCAAACTAATTTAAAGCTAATATTTCTTTTTATCCTTCTCAGGTTCAGAGGACAGTTTTGGAGAAGGAGATGCGTAGTCTTGGTGTTGACATGGACGATAAAGACGATGTGAGTGTGGGGGCGGTTCATGTGTTTATGTGGCTGGATACACCTTTTTAATAAAGAAAACTGGCCGGGCGTGGTGGCTCATGCCTGTAATCCCAGCACTTTGGGAGGCCAAGGCGGGCAGATCATGATGTCAGGGGTTCGAGACCAGCCTGGCCAACATGGTGAAACCCAGTCTGTACTAAAAAAAATACAAAAAATTAGCCGGGCGTGGTGGCGTGTGCCTGTAATCCCAGTTACTCAGGATGCTGAGGCAGGAGAATTGCTTGAACTTGGGAGGCAGAGATTGCAGTGAGCTGAGATCGTGCCCCTGTACTCCAGCCTGGGCGACAGAGTGAGACTCCATCTCAAAAAAAAGAAAGAAAGAAACCAGGGTTTTGGAAAGCCGTGGGAACGTGGGAAATTACAGCAAAAAGAAATGAGAGCTTCCAGTTTTTCTCTTTTGAGATTCGCTGGCCCTGGGACTGACTTGAAGTGATGGGTTGAGGATTCCCTGACCCTGGGTCTGGGTTGAAGTGGTGGATTGAGGCTGCACTCCAGCCTGGGCAACAGAGCAAGACTGTGTCTCAAAAAAAAAAAAGCTCCACAGCCAGCACGAGACAGCACCATGACGTGCCCAGGGTGTGGCTGCAGACCCTGTCCTCTAGATGTGCAGTCTGCAGTTTCCGTCTGATGGTTTCTGTCTGATGGTTGTCCCTTTGTGTTCATATCAGTAACCCCCAAAATGGGGCAGTGAGGGAGAGAGCATTGTTTATATCTGAAATATAAATTGTGATGCTATACTATAATAATCACTTTTAAATGAGAGTTCTAAGTTTCTTTAAGTGGAGTTAAAATCAGCTTTCTTACGTAAAGCAGCTTCCGTTAAGTGAATAAGAATATTTGACCAACAACTAATGTGAAATTGTTACTAATGTGAACTTGAAATGGTGTCACTAATATGAAAATACTGCGTGTATTTTCAAGACCTTTAGCCCATGTGTTAATGGTTCAGACGCTCCTCTCCTCCCCTCTTGCTGGAGTGACCTCATGCCTGTCGCTGAGCCTGGGTGCGGGGCTGGGGTCCTGAGCTCTGAGCCTGGGAGTGGACCTGGGGTCCTGAGCGCTGAGCCTGGGAGTGGACCTGGGGTCCTGAGCGCTGAGCCTGGGAGTGGGGCTGGGGTCCTGAGCGCTGAGCCTGGGAGTGGGGCTGGGGTCCTGAGCTCTGAGCCTGGGAGCGGGGCTGGGGTCCTGAGCGCTGAGCCTGGGAGCGGGGCTGGGGTCCTGAGCGCTGAGCCTGGGAGCGGGGCTGGGGTCCTGAGCGCTGAGCCTGGGAGTGGACCTGGGGTCCTGAGCGCTGAGCACTGAGCCTGGGAGTGGACCTGGGGTCCTGAGCGCTGAGCACTGAGCCTGGGAGTGGACCTGGGGTCCTGAGCGCTGAGCATTGCTTCCCCTGCTTTGCAGGCCCATTACGCAGTCCAGGCAAGAAGATCCCGGAGCATCACTAGGAAAAGAAAGCGGGAAGACTCTGCTCCCCCGTCCTCTGTGGCCCGGAGTGGGAGTTGCTCTCGAACTCCACGTGACGTTTCTGGTCTTAGGGATGTCAAGGTCAGTCTCTGTGTTGTGTAATGTAATAAAATGACAGTCTCTGTTGTTTATTGCACAGGGTTCAGGGCAAACACCAGCAGTTGCCATTTGCAGGAACTATGGCAGGGGTTGTGTGTACTGCATGCCCTCGTTTTGTGGCATCCTTTAGAGGAGAGCACGGGTCAGGGTGCAGGTGGATGCCCCTGACAGCTGCCCTGGATGGACCCCTCCTTGGCACTTTGCTTTTGCGGAGGGTGGCCAGAGCATGGTCTGACAGCACTAGCAGTCTGGGCTTAGACCCTGCTGTCTGAAGAGGGCCAGGAAGTGGCCACAGCTGAGCACCAGGAGGCCTCAAGTCCAGCAAGCCCCCCATGGGAGGAACAGCAGAGGGAACTCCTGGGTTGATTGGCGGGTGATCCTGCTCATCCTTAGGTTGCAGGATTGTTCCCCCCAGGTGGAGAGCTTGAGTCACATTTAGTTTATTTGTAGCGTCTTTTGGCAAAGACACTTAAGATGGACACAGTCTGTCTTGCTGAAACGTCCTTTTATTAAACACAACAACTTTTAGTTTCAGCGTTGTGGTAATGGAGATGCAGGAGAGTCTGTGTATAAACTGCAGTCTCCTTCATGGAAGCCTGAGCTTCACTCCTCTGTGCCATTGCCATCTTGAAACCTGGCTGTTAATATTGGCATTGCCACTTGTCAGTCAGACCTGAGGAAAACAGGTTCATGGGCCTGAGTCCTTAGCTTGTGTAAGAGGGAGTTAAAACAGATGTGTGCTAACCTTCTAGGTCTAAAGTGTATCTAGTCCTGGGTATAAAGCTTGTCCTGGGTATGATTTTCATCCAGTCTTTATACAAAAATACTCATTGAGTTCCTGCAGATAACTGTGCTGGGCTTAAGAGAAAAGAGATGTAACAGGGATAACTGTGCTGGGCTTAAGAGAAAAGAGATGTAACAGGGGTAACTGTGCTGGGCTTAAGAGAAAAGAGATGTAACAGGGGTAACTGTGCTGGGCTTAAGAGAAAAGAGATGTAACAGGGATAACTGTGCTGGGCTTAAGAGAAAAGAGATGTAACAGGGTCTCTTCGCTGAGCAGACCTGAGCCATTAAACAGATTGTTACCCAGTAGTTGAAATTCAGAATGGAAAATTGGTTTTAAGTAATGAACATACTTTATTTTTTTCTCCTCCTTTTAGATGGTGAAGAAAGCCAAGACTATGATGAAGAATGCTCAGAAGAAGATGAATCGGTTGGGGAAGAAAGGGGAGGCGGATAGACACGTGTTTGATATGAAGCCCAAGCACTTGCTGTCTGGGAAGAGGAAAGCTGGTAAAAAGGACAGGAGATAGTATCCGTTTGGTTGGCGTGGCTTCGCTAGAGTGTTGCTGTTTATTTCCTGGTTTGGCACAGTATGGTTTCATGAAATTGGAGCTCTGTATAAACTGAAAAAGACAAAATAAGTAAAGCACTTGTTGCTTTGCTGAAAACTATGGTTAACCCTATATAGGTGTGGGAAATTTTTGTCACTGCATAATATTACAAATATTTTGAGTAGACAGTGTTTCCACATTTAATGGAGTATCAGTTGCTTCAGATTTTCAGAACTGGGAAGATTTACTGGTTTAACTAGGTTGTTTTTGATGGAGAAAAACCTTATTTTCTTTTGTAAGAGCTGGGAGCAAACACGTTTATGAGTGTGTCGGAATCCCGTGCTTAAAATACGCTCTTAAATTATTTTCTAGTCTTATTTTACAATGTCTCATTGTAGTCTGTCTTCAACTATTTTATCCAAAATAAACCTCCAGAAGAAAGTAGTTTTCATTTACTTAGCTCATGTTTTGGTTTAGTTATAGTCGCTATGGATTTGGCCAAATAAAAAGGCAAACAACATGACATTTCTATTTTGTTTTAAAGCAAAAATACTTTTGGGGGAGTAAAATGTTGCTGGAGGCATTAGGCAATTAAATATGGGCATTCTCCTATTTCTGTGGCCCGTCCCTGAAGTTACATGTTCAGTAAAACACAAAAACACCGCCAATGCCACCTCAAAAGCACCTGCTGGGGAGCGTTGGGGTGAAGAGCTGTGGGGTCGGAGGGACCTGCCCAGGGGTCCGTGTGCTCCTGGAGCTCCAAAGACACACAGGGGTCCAAGAGCCACCACGGATAAGTTATCAAGTCACACAATCAACATTATAGCTGAGGAAAGGACTTTAGTTAATCACACTTCTGGATTACATGTGGCAATTTTAAAAATTTACCAGGGCTGGGCTGGGCGCAGGGGCTCAAGCCTGTAGTTCCAGCACTTTGGGAGGCCGAGGTGGGCAGATCAGGAGGTCAGGAGTTCGAGACCAGCCTGGCCAACATGGTGAAACCCCATCTCTACTAAAAATACAAAAATTAGCCATGCGTGGTGGTGGGCATCTGTAATCCTAGCTGCTCGGGAGGCTAAGGCAGGAGAATTGCTTGAGCCCAGAGGCGGAGGTTGCAGTGAGCCGAGATCGTGCCACTGCACTCCAGCCTGGGTGACAGAGAGAGACTCCGTGTGAAAAAAAAAAAAAAAATACCAGGTCTGGTTTTTGAAATTCTTTCTCCGTATTAAACACCAAAACTTAACATATAGTTTACTTTGTGTTAAACAACAACAGTATGGCCGGGCGCGGCAGCTCATGCCTGTAATCCCAGCACTTTGGGAGGCCGAGGCAGGCGGATCACGAGGTCAGGAGATCGAGACCATCCTGGCTAACACGGTGAAACCCCGTCTCTACTAAAAATACAAAAAATTAGCTGGGTGTGGTGGCGGGCGCCTGTAGTCCCAACTACTTGGGAGGCTGAGGCAGGAGAATGGCTTGAACCCGGGAGGCGGAGCTTGCAGTGAGCCAAGATCGCACCACTGCACTCCAGCCTGGTCGACAGCGAGACTCCATCTCAAAAAAAAAAAAAAAATACCAGGTCTGGTTTTTGAAATTCTTTCTCCGTATTAAACACCAAAACTTAACATATAGTTTACTTTGTGTTAAACAACAACAGTATGTTTTAAAGCAAGTATGTCTTTATTTGTAAGCATATTACTGAAACGATCAAATGAACAGAAGTGGATAAACGTCGAGTCACTTGGCTGAGACCATACGCATCTTCCGTACTGCTTGTATTAGGATGCAAGATTGAATGTGTCTTTTTTTTAAAAATGCAGCCTTGTGTTGCACTCTGAAATAAGTGATTTAAAAAGAAAAACATGATACAGAGATCCCATCCTGACCTTGGAGGCTTGGATAAAGCTGTGGGGAGACAGCCTCATGGTCCAGCCAGGCTAGTCCGCCTGCTTCAGGACTCTCAAGATCTCCCCAAGACTTTCAGGATCAGCTGCTGTTAATCAAACAAGTGCTTATAAAATGGAAATTGGGACAAAGGAAATGTTAAATTTCCTCCCTGCAACCAGGCAGATGAGAAATATGGAAATAAGGAAAAGGGAAAATGAAGATATGACAAAGTTGATGAAAAGGTTGAAATAGTGATTTATACATGATGGGCAATCAAGTGCCCCTTTTGCCCTGTTTTTTGGAGAGGGTGTATCATTGCCTCAATGGTGCGTCTGCCTGCACTGAGGGCATTACACATGGCTGACTCGACCTCCCTGCCTCTCACACTCTGTGTATTTTGTGAAGCTCCACAAACGGGGTCACGTCATCCAGGTGAGGCCACCACCGGTACAGAAACCTCTCGGCAATGGTTCTTAGCCAGGGGGTGACTTTGACTTCACCCCTCGCCTCCCTCTCCAGCAGCTCCCACAGCTCCTCCTGGGACAGGTAGAGGATGCTTTTCGTTTCACTGGGATCCGGGTTCAGAGTGACGTTTTTCCTCACAAGCAGAAGGTAACAAATTTCATGCTCTCCCCAAATTCTGTCTGATTTTGCCTTGTGGTGATAGATTGTCATGAACACAATGTCCTCTGGAGAAATCTATTGACAGAAATTGGTGCAGTGTTAACAACGCTAATGTAAAACACAGAATTTACAGAAAAATAGAGAAAATAAACACATTTGTTTTCCTCAGAAAATGAACACTTTCTTTGGTAATTGATAATTTCCAAAACCTCGATTTTAGCTAAGTAAATTTTTGTGGACTCAAGTCTGAATGATAAACCGGCTTTGGTTTCTTGGTTCCAGTAAACCTGTCTGTCTTCATTTAAAGAACTAACCGTGTCACACACACATCCTCAACAGAAAACCCCGTAGAAACCGGCTAGCGTTGTCAGGAGAACATCCATCCTCTCTTAAACGTGTTCTTGAGTGGATGAAGGTAACACATGCTCACAGGATCCTGGACATTCTTTCTACACTTGAATTTCTTTCTTTTTTTTTTTTTTGAGATGGAGTCTCGCTCTGTCGCCAGGCTGGAGTGCAGTGGCACAATCCCGGCTCACTGCAACCTCTGACTCCCAAGTAGCTGGGATTACAGGCGTGTGCCACTACGCCCAGCTAATTTTTGTACTTTTAATAGAGACGGGGTTTCACCATGTTGGCCAGGATGGTCTTGATTTCTTGACCTTGTGATCCGCCCGCCTCGGCCTCCCAAAGTGATGGGATTACAGGCGTGAGCCACCACGCCCGGCTTGAATTTCCTCTTCGGTGTGTGGTCGACAGATTCCTGCACAGTCTCAACCCTGCCTGGGACACATAGGGACTCACACTGCCCCATCCACAGCTACATTCACAGCCCCATTCACAGCCCCATTCACAGCTCATTCACAGCCCCATCCACAGCCCCATCCTTCATCCTCATGGTGCTTCATGAGGTCAATGGTGTAGATCCAGCCTGGACTTTGTTCACCGTCTGCCCGCTGCCAACCTGGACTCCCGTGGACACAGCTGAGACTGGATGCTGTGTGTACCTGCTCCCCAGGAATTCCCAGCTCTGCTTGCAGACGCCTCTGGGCTGCCCTCCTCACTCCGATGGCATCCTTTTCTTCCAGTTCTGCTGGGTTGTATAATGGGTGGCTACTACAGGAGTCGGTAAAATACCCTGGAAAAAATGCATGTGGGAACATCCCTCTTTATTCCTGAAAAGTGAATATATTAAATACAAATGCAGATGCTTCATGTAAAACCATCATCCGTCATCAGCAGAAGACAGCCTGGCGGGGGGAGTGGGTTTGTCATGGGCTCTCAGAGCAGCACTCGCCTCCAGCCTCCACGGCTGTGGGCTTGGTGAGGGTCTTCCACATGACCACCTGGCGGGGCTGGCCCTGACCGCTCCTGCGGCCCTTCCTGCAGATGTGCACACACATGTCCCGTGGCACTATCCCAGTATGTCTTAGGAGAGGGACTGGTTCCTACTCAGTTTTGTACCCACAGAGGACCTGAGATGCCATGGGGTGGCGGGAGGAGGTGGTGGGGCTGTGGGCTGGGTGGCTGCACCAGCTGGGCTGAGGAAGCTGGGCTGCACTTTGAGGGTGGTGATCAGTGAGCATGGTTTCACAGGAAGACTGCTGGAATACCTTTGACCAAGTTTCCTTACTGAGAGGTTCTACTTAATTTACCCAAGTAACAGCAATAGCGCTATGACGGGAGGTCACACTCTCCTCAGTAAATCTCTGTTCCCTCTCGTTCCTCAGACCCTCAGTGCTTCCTTCGGTCACTCTGCAAGGAGTTTGGCTGAAGTTGAATCCACTCTTGCAAGTACAAGAGCTGGTACTCCCACCTGCCCCTATGTATCCTGGAGGCGGCTAACACATGATAGGAAATCTTAGCTCCAGGGGCTTTATTTGCAAACTGTTGACTATGTACTACAGTTGACCCTCTTAACTTTGCAGCTCCTGAATTTTTCTGAAACAAACTTTGCATTCAGCTCCATCAAGGAGCCCGTGAGTACAACTTGACCAGCAAGTATGGTGGTGGGTTTGGGAATGGGCAGGATGTACCCACTGCGGCTCCGAGGAAGAACTAAGGGAGGAGAAAACCTCGGCCACAGCTGGCCGTGCTTAGCCATTCGCTTTAATGGCTCAGGCAAGGTCTGGTTTTGAAAATTTGAGGACAGCCTAGGCCAAAACACTTTAAATGACCACAATTGACGTAAATGCTGTTCCCCTCTAAAAAATTTTTTGGCCGGGCCCGGTGGCTCACGCCTATAATCCCAGCACTTTGGAAGGCCAAGACAGGCATATCACGAGGTCAGGAGATCGAGACCATCCTGGCTAACACGGTGAAACCCCGTCTCTACTAAAAATACAAAACGTTACCCGGGTGTGGTGGCGGGCGCCTGTAGTCCCAGCTACTTGGGAGGCTGAGGCAGGACAATGGCGTGAACCCAGGAGGCGGGGCTTGCAGTGAGCCGAGATGGCGCCACTGCACTCCAGCCTGGGTGACTGAGCCAGACTCCATCTCCAAAAAAAAAAAAAAATTTTAAGTTGTAATTTTAAGAAGTACAAGATAATTAAAACTCTAAGACCTGTAAGATAATTTTTATTATTATTACCTAGTTAATTTTATGCTAAATGCTATTTTAATCCCCTAAATCCTTAGGTTGATAAATTCCTCTGCATTTAAGTAACTTGCCGTTGCAAAGAAACAACAAAACAAAAAAACCCAGAAACTCATATAGTTTCTTACTTTTTTAAAAAAGAAAACCCAGCCTACTGAAGAGCTATCAGCATAATTAGCATCTGCCTAAGCTGCCGATTTTCTGCAGGATGAGCTGCCAGCTCACCACAGTGCGGCACTGAGCACCAGAGAGTTCCTGTCCCAGATTCCTCCGGTCAAGTCACATGAGATGCTCTCTTCAGTCCGGGGCTTGGTTGAACGGACTCACCAGGAAACGTGACTTTCGTGTCCGACCTCTGCTGTATCAGGATTCGATTCTTGGTGTTAAACAAGACAACGCTGAAGGCTCGGTGCAGCAGCCCTGCAAAGGTAAGTGCCATTTGTGTGAGTGCATGCCTGGAGTCTGTACGATTGTCCTTCGTGCTTTTTGTCCTCAGTCTGTTTCTCGTAGAAAAGCCTGTGATTGTGGCACCTGGGCAGGGCAAAGGGGACTGCTGGATGCCCAAACACAACGTTTCAGAATCTCAGCGGATTAGAACACTCGGGAAACTAAAAATAGATCTACCAGATGACCCAGAAATCCCACTACCAGGGCAAATATCCAAAATAAAAGAGATCAGTCTATCAGAGAGATATCGCAGCATTCCTGGGTGCTGAGCACCATTTACGACAGCCAAGATATGAGATCAACCTGTGTCCGTGGAGGTTTGAAGGGTTGAAAACATGAGGGTTAGATACACAGTGGCATACCATTCCACCACAAAAGAAGAATGAAATCGGGCCGGGTGCGGTGGCTCACGCCTGTAATCTCAGCACTTTGGGAGGCTGAAGTGGGCGGATCACGAGGTCAGAAGATCGAGACCACCCTGGCTAACATGGTGAAACCCCGTCTCTACTAAAAATACAAAAAAATTAGCTGGGCGTGGTGGCAGGTGCCTGTAGTCCAAGCTACTCGGGAGGCTGAGGCAGGAGAATGGCATGAACCCAGGAGGCAGAGCTGGCAGTGACCTGAGATTGCACCACTGCACTCCAGCCTGGGCAATGGAGCAAGACTCTGTCTCAAAAAAAAAAAAAAAAAGAAGAATGAAATCCTGTCATTTGTAGCAACATGGATGGAACTGGAGGCCATTGTGTTAAGTGGAACAAACCTGGCACAGAAAAACAAGTATCACATGTTCTCACTGCTATGTGGGCTCTAAAGAAGTTGATCTCATGGAGGCAGAAAACACAATGCTAGACACCAGAGGCTGCGAAGGGCAGTGGGGAGGGATGACGAGAGGGTGGTTAATAAGTATAAACATACCGCGATAGAGAAGGAATAATATCAGCTGTTCAATAGCACAGTAGGGTGACTGTAGTTAACAACAGTGTATTATATGTTTCAATGTGGCTAGAACAGAGGATTTGGAATGTTCCCAACACAAAGATATGATGAATGTTTGAGGTGATGGATATCCCAAAATGCCCTATTTGATCATTATGCATGACATGGTGGTATCAAACTATCACATGTACCCCATTAATATGCATAATTATTATGTGTTTATAAAAAAGACACAAAAATGAAAATTAAAAAATAATAAAATGGCTTAAGATGGTCAAAGAAAACCAGAGCTGGACAGGAGTTAAAGCAGGAAAGTCTGACTTTACTGAGAACCATTTCAATAGGGGAAAGAGACCTCCATGGAGAACCAGCCTAACTGCACACAACACCCAAGGAGCAGGCTGGGGCCTATGGATTAAAAGTTACTAAGAGAAAACATCAGTGGGAAGGGGGTTCTGGCTACACCGACCTAACAAGACCTGCTGAAGACAGGCCTGCGTGATCAGACGTCACCTGGGAGGGACGGGGTTGAGGAATTTAATCAGATGCCAAGGTCAGGGTTCTCGCTAAAACAACCTGGTAGAATTCTTGCTGAAACAGGATCTTACGAGGAAGAGCACGGATGCCTAGGAGAAGGTGCAGGAGCCTGACAAGGGCTTGACCAAGCAAAGACGTCATCCAGGTGCTGCTCCCCGAGCCTTCTAAAGACGGCACAGCAAGCACACAGGTGACCCAGTGGTCGCCTCCTAGCCGGAAAGGCCTAGACTCTCTTCTTAGGTTGCCGTCGGGTGGGAAAAATGGGAAAACCCTGGGAACTGGACAGAGAAAATGGGCGGGGGCTACCTTTCTCAATGTTTTCGTTCAGATGGCAATTCCTCTTGGTGTCGGCACCAATAACCTTATCATTCTCATCCACAACAATCAGCATTTCCTCCAAGCGCTGCAACTGACGCCTGTCAACCCAGTCAAGATTTATGTCAGACATAGCTGCTGGCTGTGACCCGACCTGAAATAGATGCACACAAATGCCTCTTTATGTGAAAGATATTGCCATCTCGTTTTTGCTATGTGTTACCAACCACATTAGGATTTAGCATACACCTTCTCTACAAGTGACAGCAATTGTGTTGAAGCAGCACAGTTCTGAGATATGGAAGGTGAATCATCTGTTTCTAATGTGGTGTCTCTCTGAACGGGAAATCTTGGGTACATACATACTCCTCATGTTTTCCAGGTTTCCTTTAGTGACGAGTTAAAGAATCCCCGCCCCACCACACACACACACACACACACACACACACACACACACACACAAAACACACCGAGGTAAACTGTAGGTAACACTCTTTGTACAAGTTTTTGGGGAAAAGTGCAGCCCTGTGCAAAACCACTGGACCTGGATCAGACGTGGAGAAACACACAGCCTTGTAGGAAAGCTACGTCACCCACAGAAGGGCTATGGTCCTCTTCAGAGCCAAGCAGATTCTTAGGTGAAGATCTTCTCACAAAATGTTTTCAGGGCCAGGAGCGGTGGCTCACGTCTGTAATCCCAGTACTTTGGGAGGCCGAGGTGGGAGGATCACTTGAGGTCAAGAGTTTGAGACCAGCCTGGCCAACATGGTGGAACCCTCTCTCTACTAAAAAATACAAAAATTAGCCAGGCCTGGTGGCACATGCCTGTATTCCCAGCTACTCAGGAGGCTGAGGCAGGAGAATCACTTGAACCTGGGAAGCAGAGGTTGCAGTGAGCCGAGATCGTGCCATTGCTCTCCAGCCTGGGCAGACAGAGTGAGACTCTGTCTCAAAAAAAAAAAAAAAAAATGTTTTCAGGGTCATTTATCTTCATGTAAAACCTTCTCATCATCCTTTTCTACTTTTTAAAAAAATGCATTCACGTCTGTCCATTATCATTACTGTTAATATTTTCAGCAATCTGCTCCTCCTCTTTGCAAAAGGCTGTTTGACTTAATGCATGGACATGAGATACAATAGAAATGCAGAGAAAACAATTACTGAATATGTACAAATTTAGATCATAAAAGAAAGAATTCCCACAAGGTAAAACATATGCACTAACCTCTCTTGGAAGCTGGAGACTCCTGGGTATCAGATGTGGAACTCAATGTGCAAGTTGAACCAGGGCCCTTTTATACCCTGGGGATGTAGAAAGATATCAGCTAAGGCAATCTGATATTTTTGTATTCTTAACAAGAAAACACACCCCGGTCTCTCTCTATCTCTCCATCTCTTTCTCTCTATCTTTCTCCCTCTCAATTGAGGGATAATAGAAAATTGTTTTGACACAATCTCACTTTAAAAAATGCTTTTAGTTTTTAAACCTAGGGTAAGTTATTTTCTACTCTATGGCTTTCTTTTTTTTTTTTTTTTTAAGGTGATGTCTAGCTCTGTTGCCCAGGCCAGAGTGCAGTGGCGTGATCTCGGCTGACTGCAACCTCTGCCTCCCGGGTTCGGGCGATTCTCCTGCCTCAGCATCCCGAGTAGCTGAGATTACAGGCGCCCGCCATCACGCCCAGCTAATTTTTTTGTATTTTTAGTAGAGACGAGGTTTCACCATGTTGGCCAGGCTGGTCTCCATCTCCTGACCTCAGGTGATCCGCCCGCCTCGGCCTCCCAAAGTGCTGGGATTACAGGTGTGAGCCACGGCGCCGTTCGATGGCATCTTTTTAATTCACTTGCTGTATATATCATCCCAGATTTTAAAAAGAAAAAATAAAGGTGGCAAATGGAAGAGAAAAATAATAAACATTGTGACTAAAATTACTGAATAAATTCTTAGGATAGCTGAAAATCGATAAATAAATGCAAGACCTTGGAAACCAATGTGTTTGGAAGAGCTAAAAAACTGTATAATTTCTTGCCTATCATATTCCAAATATCATCTACCAACTAAAGCTCTAGGCCAAATAGTTTTGCAAGTAGGGTCTCTTAAAATATCAAAAAAATGTTTGCCATATCTGTCGGTTCTCTCAGGGAATATGAGGAGAGAAGCACGATGGACGCATGACTCCGCTGACTTTGGCACGGATAATACAGAACAAAAATAACACAGCAGCAGTGATGGGTAATATTCTATAAAAAGATTAATGTGTTTTGCTCTTTTGTCTTTCCATAAGTTCACCTTTATGCATGTAATTTTTAGTTACGTAGAAAATCAAAAGGCTATGCCTGAAATGTTTTCCCTGGAAATCAGTTCTGAGACTCAGGAATAAATGGTCTGTTTGAAACTTGTTTCTTTTGCAGTCAGAAGAGTAAGAATGGGAGAATGATACTCTTTTAAAGATCTAAAAAATAATAAATAAGTCTATGAATTAGGCTTTGAGGAAGAAACTAATATACAATACCGTACCTATTATAATCCAACAACTCTAATAGTAATAATAATAATAGTAAGACAGCCAGACACACATTGTGTCCTTCCTTTGTGCCAGTTTCTATTTTAAGAGTTTAATGTATATTAATTCATTTGGTCCTCACGACAGCTTTCTGAGATAAGCGTTATTTTTTATTATCACAGCATCGATAAGGAACTGAAGCACAGAGAGGTAAATTACCTGCCCAAGGCAATGTGGCTGCAGATGCAGCTGAGCCCCCAGAATCTGTGCAGTTTAACATGTTGGGATCGTCACCACCAAACTAAGCACTGAAAGCTTTAGAGGCAAATGTTATCAAAATTTCAAGGAAGGAATTGTCATTCTCTGTAAAATGTTCTAGGGGATAAAAAAGGAGGGAAACCCTTTGCTAGGTTGATCTGGGTACAAGGTTCTGACACATAAAGCACACAAAAAACATTATAAAGGAAAGGAAGGAAGACATTTTGATTAGGCTATATGCGGAGAATTTTCTTAAGAGAGGTTATGACAACTTTAAGAATGACAGTTGATGACCTATAATGCTGCAGGTAGGAGGTTAAGAATAAACTCTAGGAATAGATGATTACATCTGATTAAGGCAAATTAGAAGCAACAGAAAGGGCTCTAGATATCAGTGAAATATAGAGAAGGACATGGAGGCCAAGACTGGGAAAAGCAGGTAAAAAGAAATGGAAGTGGAAAGAGTTAAAAAGGAGTAGGCCAAGTATTGTAGGTATGAAAGAGAGGGTAAAACAAATACAGCATGTGCTAAAAGGGGTATCCTTGAACAAGAGAGCCATAATAATAAAGAAAAATATCCCAGACACACAAGATGACTTAAACCCACAGATGGAAAGGGCTTGCCATGTTCCAGAAATACTGACACATTATCGTCGACACTGGGGTAAACTTCTCAGATCTCTGAGAAAACTGCTGCATGCAGAAGAGAACAGCCACTCCCAACACCATCACTCCATCTCCTAGGCATTGTACAACCCTAATCCTCTGCTTTCCACCTAGAATGATGGGTGATCCATGTACTTACCAAAAGTCACTTCTTGGGTCAGGTGTGGTGGCTCATGCCTGTAATCCCAGCACTTTGGGAGGCTGAGGCGGGTGGATCACCTGAGGTCAGGAGTTTGAGATGAGCCTGGTCAACATGGTGAAACCCCATCTTTACTAAAAATAGAAAAAAGGGCCGGGTGCGGTGGCTTATGCCTGTAGTCCCAGCACTTTGGGAGGCCAAGGCAGGTGGATCACGAGGTGAGGAGATCGAGACCATCCTGGCTAACACGGTGAAACCCCGTCTCTACTAAAAATACAAAAAAATTAGCCGGGTGTGGTGGTGGGCGCCTGTAGTCCCAGCTACTCAGGAGGCTGAAGCAGGAGAATGGTGTGAACTCGGGAGGCCGAGCTTGCCGTGAGCAGAGATCGCTCCATTGCACTCCAGCCTGGGCAACAGAGCGAGACTCTGTCTCAAAAACAAACAAAAAACAAAAAATAACTTCTTCTGCAGCAGATTCACCCACAGTCACCTACTCAAAGACATCGTCCAGCAATTTTCCCTTTTTCTTCTCTATCATCACGTTTTCTCTCTCTCTGTTGGAATTCTCCTATCAGTCTGCAAGCATGTGACTATGATTTCATTTAAGTAACAGCTAGTTTTTTAGACCTCATTTGCCCAGCAAGCTACTCCTTTGCAGGAACACTCTTAGAAAACTTCCTTCATGCTCACTATATCCAGTTCCTTTCTCTAATATTTCTCGTTCCTTTTCTCACGTTTAAAACTATCAAGTAACTTAACCTAAATTGTTAAGTACAATTGTTGAGCTGTTCAAATTTTCAACTCCTGTCAACAAAATTCCAAAGAACAAGCTTCTAAGATAAGCACTTCCTGATATTTGATAACATAGGTTAAAATTTCTGTAAATATCTTAAGAGATTATACTCAAATCCATATGTTGGAAAACGGTGATGAATAAAATTTTGGCAGTGAGGAAAATAAAAATAACTTTCCATAATAGGGTTATTTTTATCTATATAAATCAAGAAAGAATTAACACTTTAGCAATGATCAGAAAAGATGAGGCCCTTGGTATTACTGGGAAAATTTGGAAGAGATAATTAATTTGGGAGAGCTTCTAGAACAAGTACTCAGAAGTGTTCAATAATAAGTAAAATGACACATATGTAATTGATGTCTTAAGGCTGATGACAGCAGCCCTCCTAAATGAATCTGCAGTTTGCTACTAAATCCATACAATTCGCCTCCTCTAATATATACGTATTTTGAGACGGAGTCTCCCTCTGTCTCCAGGCTGGAGTGCAATGGCATGATCTCGGCTCACTGCAACATCCGCCTCCTGGGTTCAAGCAATTCTCCTGCCTCAGCCTCTCGAGTAGCTGGGACTACAGGTGCACGCTGCCACCCCTGGTTAATTTTTTTTTTGTATTTTAGTAGAGATGGGGTTTCACCACTTTGCCCAGGCTGGTCTCAAACTCCTGAGCTCAGGCAATCCGCCTGCCTTGGCCTCCCAAAATGTTAGGATTACAGGCGTGAGCCACTGCGCCTGGACCTCCTCCAATATTTGGCCAAGCCACGCAATCTTTAAGCTCCCATGTCTGTCCATGATTGTAGGTTTATAATTTGGAACTTCGGTTATTTAATTAATTAAAAATATTCAGATATATCCTGCAAATAAATACAAAGTTTTTGTACTCAGCATCTTTAGTGCACTTTCCCACAAGGAGTTGTATGTAAATGAAAAAAATAGATAAATGCAAGCATGTAAATCAACTCCTATTATTAACCATTTACTTAGCTCAAGTTTATTTACACCTGAATGAAAAGTTCCATTTGCATCAAAAATACATTCGTATACTCTTAAGGCAGTGTCCGGCGCAGCGGCTCACGCCTGTAATCCTAGCACTTTGGGAGGCTGAGGCGGGTGGATTACTTGGGCCCAGGCATCCAGCCTGGACAACAATGGCAAGAGCCATCTCTACAAAAAATACAAAAACTTAGCCAGGCATGGTGGTGTGCACCTGTAGTCCCAGCTACTCTGGAGGCTGAGATGGGAGAATCGCCTGAGCCTCAGAGGTCAAGGCTGCAGTGAGCTGGGATTGAGCCACTGTACTCCAGCCTGGATTACATATATTTGTATATTCCTAAGGCACATAATGGACCTAGGTCACCAAAACTAAAAGATATTCTAGACCAAAATTTTGAATGTAATTTAATAACCTTGTACAAACCCTCTACAGCTGCACATTACCAAAGCTAGTATCACTGTACCTAGTGGCTTACTGCCTCATTCAATTGAAAAGATCAAACTAATTCAATCCTGCTCTCCAAAGAACACTTTTTCTGAATGGGCTCTCAGACTTTTCCTGAATGGGCTCTCAGATTCTGCTTTCCTAAGAAAGTGTGTTGAGGTAGTTCTTTTTCTGAATGGGCTCTCAGATTCTGCTCTCCTAAGAAAGAGTGTTGAGGTAGTTCTTTTTCTGAATGGGCTCTCAGATTCTGCTTTCCTAAGAAAGTGTGTTGAGCTGTAGTTCTACAGCATTGTTCAATGCAAAGATAGGGTTGGCTGTAGGTTTTCAGAAGGTGACCTTTATCAGGTTGAAGAAGTTCCCTTCTCGTCTTACTTTCTTGAGATTTTATCATGAATTGATGTTGAGTTTTGTCAAATGTTTTTTCTGCATTTCTACTGAAATGAGTCTTGTGTGGTCTTTTCCCCTTTATTCTAGCAATATGGTGTATCATATTAATTGATTTTCAGATGTTAAACTAGCCTTGCTTTCTTGAAATAAATCCCACTTGGGCATGGAGAATATTCTTTTTATATGTTGCTGGTTTCTGTTAATATTTTAAGATTTTTGTATCTGGATTCGTGATTGATAATAGTTATTCTTGTAATATCTATTATAAATAGTTACTGTGTGGCTTGGCCAAATACTGGAGGAGGTGAATTGTATGGATTCAGTAGCAAATTGCAGATTCATTTGAGAGGGCTGCTGTCATCAGCCTTAAGATATCAATCACACTGGGCGCAGTGGCTCACACCTGTAATCCCAGCACTTTGGGTGGCCGAGGTGGGTGGATCACAAGGTCAGGAGTTCAAGACCAGCCTGGCCAACATGGTGAAACCACATCTCTACTAAAAATACAAAAATTAGCCAGGCATGGTGGCAGGCACCTGTAATCCCAGCTACTCGGGAGGCTGAGGCAGAGAATTGCTTGAACTGAGGAGGTGGAGGTTGCAGTGAGCTGAGATCGTGCCATTACACTCCAGCCTGGGCAACAGAGCAAGACAATGACTCAAAAAAAAAAAATATCAATCACATATGTGTCATTTTACTTATTACTGAACATTTCTCAATAGAAATCTTTTTGCTATATTTGAGATATCCCGTTTTCTTCTGCATATGCTTTTGGGAGGTAGGATAACTAAAAATATTATATATAAAATATAAAATAACAATATATAAAATAACTAATATGATAACTAATATAACTATATATAGCTATATATACCTACATATAACTGCAATATAACCATAATATATAAAATAATTAATATAACATATAGATTAGTTATAAAATAATATATATAAAACTAATAAAATAACACCAATATATAAAAAATATAAAATAACTAAAATACATTGGTATAGTTTCTTGTAATAACCAAAAGAAAGTGTTCCTTTTTCCTCTATTTCTTGGAAGTGCTTATGAAGGACTGGTAATATTTCTTATTTTTTATTATTTTTGAGACAGAGTTTCGCTCTTGTTGTCCAGGCTGGAGTGCAATGGCGCGATCTCGGCTCACTGCAACCTCCGCCTCCCAGTTTCAAGTGATTCTCCTGCCTCAGCCTCCTGGGTAGCTGGAATTACAGGCGTGTGCCACCACACCCGGCTAATTTTGTATTTTTAGTAGAGACGGGGTTTCACCGTGTTGGTCAGGCTGGTCTTGAACTCCTGACCTCAGGTGATCCGCCCGCTTCAGCCTCCTGAAGTGTTGGGATTACAGGCGTGAGCCACCATGCTCGGCCAATACTTCTTCTTTAAATGTTTGGTAGAACTCACTAGTGAGGCCACTGGGCCTTGTCTTTTCTTCATGGGAAGATTTTAATTACTATGCCTTAGCTGGGTAATACAAAGATGTACCTGCATTATTTCGGATTTTCATCATTTGTGCATTCTCTCTGTTCTTCTTGATCATTCTAGTTAATGGCTTTTTCCAACTTTGTTGCTCCTTTTTTTTTTTTTTTTTTTTTTTGAGACAGTCTCACTCTGTTGCCCAGGGTGAAGTGCAGTGGTGCGATCTTGGCTCACCGCAACCTCTGCCTCCCGGGTTCAAGCAATTCTTGTCCCTCAGCCCCCTCCCCCTGCCTGTCCCTCCTTCCTCCTGCTGAGTAGCTGCGATTACAGGCACACACCACCATGCCCGGCTAATTTTTGTAGAGATGGGGTTTCACCATGTCACCCAGGCTGCTCTCAAACTCCTAGCCTCAAGTGATCTGCCAATCTTGGCCTCCCAAAGTGCTGGGATCACTAGAAGCTTTTCAATTTTTTTATTCCAAAGCAATCTGATGCAGTTTTTGCTATATTTGAGATATCTCATTTTCTTCTGCATATGCTATTGGGAGATAGGAAAGATTTTGGAAAATGTGTAAGAAAAAGGAAGATACTAAAAACATACTAAGATTGTATGTAGGGAAAGGTTACAACTCTAACTTTGATAATGTGCATTAAATCGACAAATCCTTGAAAAGCACAGCTCGATAAATCCAACAAAAGGAGAAAAAGAACATGTGAAGAGTTGAATATATGTGAAAGAAATGTAAGTTCATTTTTCTTTTTTTTTTTGAGATGGAGTCTCGCTCTGTCGCCCAGGCTGGAGTGCAGTGGGGCGATCTCGGCTCACTGCAAGCTCCGCCTCCCGGGTTCACGCCATTCTCCTGCCTCAGCCTCCCGAGTAGCTGGGACTACAGGCGCCTGACACTCCGCCTGGCTAAATTTTTGTATTTTTTAGTAGAGACGGGGTTTCACCGTGTTAGCCAGGATGGTCTCGATCTCCTGACCTTGTGATCTGCCCGCCTCGGCCTCCCAAAGTGCTGGGATTACAGGCGTGAGCCGCCGCACCCGGTCGTAAGTTCATTATTAAAATGGGCCCCATATCCACGTGAATAGGGGTCAGTCTCAGACTTAGCTTTAATTTTCAGCCATGAGAAGACTACTGCTCTTCCTCCAACACTCACTTCTCTATTTTCTCTATCGTTTGATCCTGTCTCCTGTACAACTGGGTGGTATTTAACCATGTTTAGGCTCAGGTATAACCCAAGCTCTGAAACTGTAATAGAAAATTAAGTAAATGAAAGGCAAAAAATGAAAGACTTAATAAGGTTTAAGCTGTTATTCATCTAGGAGGCTGAATAACAATACATATACATGTTTTTGTTGTTTATGTGTATATATTTTTTATGAATAGAGTTGTTCCTATTATGTTGTATCTTGTAATAATTACTAATGACAAGGTTCATAAATAGCTAGATGTTAACATAACTGGCCAAACTCCAGTGACAAGGGCCCTGTTACAATCAGTAGGACCAACCTGCTAAGACCTGAGCTCAGAGCTCAGGGATGGCCAAGGTCAAGGCCCAGTGGTTGTGACGAGATGCCAGGAAACCTTACCCACTGCATGCCTGTGTTGTGCCATGGTGCTGTAAGTAGTCTCTTTGGGTACACTGCCAGTAGGCTTTTGGCATACATGTATGGGCTAGTATTTTCAGGCCAAAAAACTATCCCTGTCTCATTGTTTACTATTTTTGTGCAGCAATTTGGTTTTACTGTTGGTTCTTACTCTGGTCTTGCCCCAAGTTCAATACTTTGGTTCTTCTCTTCTCCCTAAACTTTCCCTGTCCTGATTCCCTGAGAACAATTCCCTTTTCTCTGAATTGGGATCCTATTTCTACCCCTTGCATACATACCCCTCCTAATTCTTCTGGGTAAATTTCTATGCCCATTAACTCTAGACATACATTTGTAAATTACTGAGACCCTAAATTGAGAATTATGTTTGCCATTACTTTTAAAAGTGTAATCTGAATCCCAGCACTTTGGGAGGCCGAGGCGGGCGGATCACGAGGTCAGGAGATCCAGACCATCCAGACTAACACGGTGAAACCCCGTCTCTACTAAAAATACAAAAAAATTAGCCGGGCGTGGTGGCGGGCGCCTGTAGTCCCAGCTACTCAGAGGCTGAGGCAGGAGAATGGCGTGAACCCGGGAGGCGGAGCTTGCAGTGAGCCGAGATCGCACCACTGGACTCCAGCCTGGGCGAAGGAGCGAGACTCCGTCTCAAAAAAAAAAAAAAAAGTGTAATCTGTTTTTTTGCCTCCTGAAATCACTTATGTATAAACACATTAAAGTGGGTCACCGTGTCACGTCTTGGGCTTCCTGGGACAAGAATCAAATGGCACATGCCTGGCCAAAGTGCTCAGATCAATCTGCAAACCATGGTCACAGAGCCAGTCACAGAGTCTTACGGCTTTCATTGTAGCTTCTCTGTGGAATATCTTCAAGGACATGTGTGTGCTTTAGGATGTTCACGTGTCATGATTAAGTTGTAAATTTCAAAAATTCTAAGAATGCCTATTGTTGGCCAGAAGTATAAAAATTGGAAAGATTTTAATAAAATCATCTTTCAATCTTACTTAAATAGGTCTATGAAGTCTGCATCTCTTCCTCTGGAAAGTAACGTAAGGGCTGTGAAGAACATTGTCCATAATGAAACTGAGAAGGGCTGTTCTCCCTGGGAACAGAAAGGTCACTGTCTTTGCTCAACAAACAGCCTAAAGCCAGGAACGCAGGCCTCCCCAGGCCTCTTGGCCGCCTCTCAAGCTTCCTCAATAAAAAATTCACATGGAAGACATTCTAGTCTATCTTCTCTTCCTTCTTTCTTCCCTTTAGCTAATAATTATTGAGTGCTGATTATGTTCTGGACACAGTTCTAGAATTTCTGTGATAAGAAACAGAGACCCCAGCAGTGATTCTCTGCTGGGGCCGATGGCTCTCAGGGACATCCTTCAAAACAGGGCCCATTTGGTTCTTTAAAAAAAATAATGTCCAGTTTCTCTAAAAATTCTGTCATGACTTTTATTTCTTTGATGTTAAGCTTTGTGTCTTAGGTTTCAGCGTGCTGACGTTCTCTGGGCCCTGAAGTCACTGCTGCTGGCTGGTGTGCTGGCCACTTGGTCGTGCTGGCCTGTCTCCCACCGGGTGGATGCCCAGCGAGCTCTGGATGCTGTGTATGACAAAGACATGGGGGTTGTTTGGAGTCTGTGATGTGCTATTGTCCTCCACATAATGGTTTTCTGCAAGAAACTAGAGAAGTAACTATCTCAGATTTCCCTAATAAAAACAGGTTTTGAGCCAATTCCAGGCTGGCCCTAAATTCCTCTTCCTAGCACGTGAAGCCTGGGAAGCTCTCCGTGGGCCTTGCCCTCGCAGCTCTCACCCCTGGTCTCTGCTCCCCCATTCCTGTCTGGCTATTGGAAGCACCTCTCCATTGCCCAGCCTCTCTGCTCATTTACTGGAACTGGGCAATGCCCCTTGGGAAAAGCAGCACAGGTTTTCTTCTCCTAGATTTTGCCCTATGCTTCTTTTCAGAGCTATTTGGTCTCTGACATTCTCTCTCAGGTTTTTCCAGCGCTCTTGGGAGGTGGGCTGTGCCACTGCCTGGCCCACCTGGCCCACCTGGCCCACCATTACCTGAAGGGAAGCATGAACAGCCTTTGACGTGGGAGTGGCGACTGCTGAGAGGGAACTGTCTGTACACAAGCAATGTAGCCTTATGGGACCTGTGAGTATATGCTTAAGTTTTTTTTGTGTTTTTTTTTTTTGGTTGAGATGGAGTCTCGCTCTGTCACCCAGGCTGGAGTGCAGTGGCACGATCTCGGCTCACTGCAAGCTCCGTCTCCTGGATTCACACACCATTCTCCTGCCTCAGCCTCCCGAGTAGCTGGGACTACAGGCACCTACCACTGCGCCCTGCTAATTTTTGTATTTTTACTAGAGATGGGGTTTCCCCATGTTGGCCAGGCTGGTCTCAAAACTCCTGACCTCGTGATCCGCCCGCCTCGACCTCCCAAAGTGCTGGGATTACAGGCGTGAGCCACTGCGCCCGGCCAATGCTTAAGTTTTTATTCATAATTTACTCAAAGTCACTGAGCTCTGACTTCATGCTGGTGATTCAGATTTGAGTCCTGGGAAGATCATCTGAGATGACGTTTAAGCCAAGGGTTTAAATGAGTCATATTCAGCCAGGTGCAGACTAAGGCAGTGCAGGTTCCAGGCAGAAGGGAAAGCACGTGGACACGCTGAGATGCAGGCAAGGCCTCACAGCCAGAGCTGGCTTGTCACCTGGCGTGGGAACACCTTTCCTCTTCAGACTCTGTGTGTTCCTTTTAATCTGCGTCAGGGCATGTGATTGAGCAGCACGTGACCAACCCCACTGCGGCATCTGTCCCCCGTGGGGTGGGGGTGGGGACAGAGTTCTTTTCCTACAGCATAAGTGTGTCATGTCAACCAACGCCGTGTCAGCTGCCTGCAGGGGCCCACGGGCATGGGGACCCGACGTACACCGTGGGAGCTGACCTTTCTTTCTTCTCTCAGGAGTGGAGCCCCAACCCACGCAGGGCGTGTCTTCATGGCTTTTCCTGGCCAATCTGATACCAAGATGCAGTGGCCAGAAGTACCTGCACTTCCACTCCTGTCAAGGTGAGATGCCACTTGCTCTCCACTGATTCTCTATCAGTGCTGAGCTCTGTTCTCTAGAGCTCACGGATTCTATATTGTGTTAAGCTGTCACTTAAAAGTGCACAAATTGTTTCAATCAATCCTAACATATTCACCCATGTAATTAACACCCTATCAACATAGAGAACACTTCGAAAATCACAAGGCTCCCTGCGCCCCCTGGAAGTAGCTTCTATTCTTGCCTACATCTTAATTGGTTTCGCCTGTTTTTGACCTTTATTTCACTGGAATCACGTATGCCTTTTGTATCCGGCTTCTTCCACTCAAGATTGGGTCTGTGGATTTACTCACACTGCTGTGTATAGCAGGACTGCTCCCGCGGCATGGCAGCATCCGATTGTGCAGACACCAAGGCTGATGTAACCACTGCAGATGTTCTGCAGGGGCGTCCCTGGGATAGAGACTGGACATGTAGCAAAGAGCTCCGTGAGCGTGAGCGAGGCAAGCCCTGAACCCACACTGTATCACCTACTTATAGGGCAGTGCATAAAAATCTGGGAAACACCTTGTTTCTCAAAGTAACAACGAATATGTCAGTGACTTCCCAGCCCAAGAATATGCTGCATTCGTTCGCTGCTTAGTTAGTAAAATGGCAACAAAAGAAGGCAGAACCACGCACATTTGTCTCCTGCCAGGTCTGACTCGTTTGACTTTAGTAGATAGTGGCCAACAGCTTCATGGTAGCAGGCATGCTCAGAAGCAGTTACTTTATATTCCGTCAACACTTGGTGATGTTGGTCTTTTAAATTCGGGTTTCAATTTGCACCTACCCTGTGATTAATGAGGTTAAGCTTCTTTTCATGTTTAACACCCAAATTTTAATAGACTTTATTCTTTCGACCAGTTCAGGTTCACAGCAAAATTGGGTGGAAGGTAGACAGTTTCCATAAACCCCCAGCCCCTCCACACACACAGACTCCCCCACTATCTACATCCTCATCGGAGTGGTCCATTTGTTACAGCCGATAGACGTACGTCAACACATCATTATCACCTGGAGTCCAGTTTACATGAGGCTTGCTCTTGGTGTTGGACAAATGCATAATGACCTATATCCACCAATTCAGTACCATGCAGAAGAGTTTCACTGCCCTAAAAATCCTGTGCCCTGCCCACTCATTCCTCCCTCCCGTCACCCCTGGCTTTTTACTGTTTCCAGTTTTCCTTTACTGGAATGTTGGAGAACTGGACTCCTTCAGGATGTAGCCTTTCATGCTTCTTTCAGCAACATGCACCTAACTTTCCTCCCTGTCTTTGTGGCTTGATAGCTCATTTCTTTTTAGTGCCAAATAACATCCTACTGTCTGGATATATCAGTTTACTTATGCATTCACCTATATGCATATAAAATAGAGGAGAGAATGCGGTGTTGGAGATTTACGTTTGGGAGTCTAAACCATGTATGGTAAATAAGTATAATGTGTGAAAATTGTAAAGCAGAAAGCTGTCAGGATACCTGAATACACACAAATACACACTTCAGTTCATGCTATAAAATGTTATAAAATGTGTAAGTACATACTTAGGGCTGAAAAAGCACCCAGAGAGGAAGGGTGAAGAAGAGGTGTATCTGAAATAATAAAAAGAAAATCTGTCAAGAGGGGATCTAGAGTACCTCATCCCATGAGGAACTCCCAACCCTAGTGAGGGTCCAACGGACAGATCCAAGTGAGAGGATGAAACCACTGCACAAGCACCCCCTAAGGGGCAGGTGGAGGGCAGTTCCCACAGGGACCCACTTCGGGTACAACCTGGGCTTGTCCCCAGGGAGCAGGTGGAGGGCAGTTCCCACAGGGACGCACTGCGGGTACGACCTGGACGTGTCCCCAGGGAGCAGGTGGAGGGCAGTTCCCACAGGGACGCACTGCGGGTACGACCTGGACGTGTCCCCAGGGAGCAGGTGGAGGGCAGTTCCCACAGGGACGCACTGCGGGTACGACCTGGACGTGTCCCCAGGGAGCAGGTGGAGGGCAGTTCCCACAGGGACGCACTGCGGGTACGACCTGGACTTGTCCCCATGGAGCAGGTGGAGGGCAGGTCCCACAGGGACGCACTGCGGGTACGACCTGGACTTGTCCCCAGGGAGCAGGTGGAGGGCAGTTCCCACAGGGACGCACTGCGGGTACGACCTGGACTTGTCCCCAGGGAGCAGGTGGAGGGCAGTTCCCACAGGGACGCACTGCGGGTACGACCTGGACTTGTCCCCAGGGAGCAGGTGGAGGGCAGTTCCCACAGGGACGCACTGCGGGTACGACCTGGACGTGTCCCCAGGGAGCAGGTGGAGGGCAGTTCCCACAGGGATGCACTGCGGGTACGACCTGGACTTGTCCCCAGGTGCCAGGGCCAAGTAAGAAGAAAATGTGCCTTCCTTCCTATTATACCATTTTCTGTTTTGGTCTTGTTCTCTTGATAATATAGGTAGGGAAACAGAATCAGCAATTATTAGAAGGCCACCTCTACTTTGTCCTTAAAGGAGTTGGCAATGGTTTGACCAGAATCAAAGAAGTATATATTTTGAAGATTAAGAGTTTAAAACAGTTTAAGAAAAAAAAAATTTATAGGTACCATTTAGCTTTCTAGTTGAAAACCAACACATCTGCCTTTGGGGTCAGAAGCAGCTATATCTAGGAGAGGGATACTCCTCTTTATAAAAGATGAAGGAGTTCTAAGGAGTTTATCAGGTCAAAAGACATTCCTTACATTTTCTGGATGGCATCCTAGTAATATTACAACAGTAGTATCTAACTCTTGCTAAGTACTTAACAAGGTGCTGGGTAGCAGTCTAAGGGTCCCATGTCCAATTCAGTAGCCATGGCAACTCATAGTTATCACATAACTAATTATATGTGGCTTTCAGCCTAAAACTTCCTAGAAAATAAAACTAAAAAAATTAGAAACAATATTATAAATGCAACGGAAACTATACAGGCAATATCCTATTAGTGTATCAAAATTTTAACAAACTAAACACAGTATTAAATTGCAATTTTTTTTACTTTTCAATAAAATACTTGCTAAACAGTCTTGTCTGAAATTATAAATTGCCCAAAGTTAACCATAAATGAGTCATTCTATTGAATTTAACAAACATTTAACTTTGCAAGAAATAAATTTTTATTTTTCTTCATTATCATACAGCATTTAAGAATAATAAATCTGTCTTGAGGTTTCAAATCTGAGATATCTATGGCAAGTTTATAAAAAGTACATTGATCAAGGTACAATTTTTAACATTAATATACACATTCCATAATCTCATCTATTTAACATTAACACAGGCCTTTGTTGTTGTTATTTTTTTCTCCCTACAATATTTCCTGACTCTGTAGGACAGTGGTCCTCAGTTGGGGGTTGACTCTGTCCCCTAGGGGCATCTGGCAACATCCGGCATAACTGTGGGTGTCACATGAGAGGGACGCTGCTCACCATCCTGCAATGCACAGCACAGACCCCACCACAGGGGTTTTATCCAGCCCAAATGTCAACAGTGTCAAGTTTAAGCAACTCTTACCGAGTGGGACTCAATTCCCATTTTATGAACACCTCTGTGCTCACTGTAATTCTGAAAACACAGACTTTGCTAACTGGTAAATACTATTTACAAGAAGATTCAACCTAATCAATATCACTTATCAAAAGCAGTGGCTGACTGTAAGTATCAACATGTTTCCAGAATGAATAAACCACACAATCAACTCAGAATGATACAAATTAGGGTCCATATCATTTAATTTCCCTTGAACCTGCTCTGCTAGTTTAATCTGCTAATATGAAAGTTAATTAAGACTGTTTTGAAGGAGCGAGACAATAGTTTCCTTTGCACATTTTTCTGAACTATGAGAAAAATTTAATGATACATAAAGCACCTGGCAAATAGCAAGTCCTCTGCAAGTGCTCCGGAAATGTTTATCACAGCCTACTAAAAACAGAGTTTCACTCATTTGTTCAAATTTCCCATAAGTATGTATCTGCAAAGATTAAATTAAGTTTTATTTGCTCGCTCTCATTTTACAATAATCTCTCACAAATGTCGCTTAGAAACAGAACACATATCCAGGGTGTGTGATACAAAATTATAAGTTAGTTTTTTCCACACAAGTTTTAAAGTATCAGTGTATATAATACATTAATGATAGTACCAAATGATAGAACTAAATTTAATGATAAATTAATGATAGAACTAAATTTAAAAGGAAAAAGTCATTCTAAGTTTGTTAAGCAGATAAATTTTTCTGTAATCATTTACCTACATATTCACATTCTGTATATTTTCTCATGGTCAACAAACTGATTCAAATGATTTAAGTTATCCCACCATTTAAAGAGAAAAGTCGCTGCAATAATTTTAAACCATGGCGTTATCTTAATTTCACCACTGGCTGCTTTTTTCAGAAGTTCTTTTAGTTCTTCCTTTGACACATAACAATAGCTTTTAATCTCATTGGGATCTGGATTCAAAGTTACATTCTTCCTCACCAACAAAATGTAATCAATTTCATGTTCACCCCAGATACCATCAGACTGAGCTTTGTAGTGAATTCGTGTTAAATAATTAATTTCTTCTGGAGGAACCTAAGACATTAAAAAAAAAAAAGTAATTAAAACATCGGCCACCGTAACAAAAAAAATCTAAAATTAGCTCACTGTATTACAGCGATATCTCGAACAGCAGTATAGTTTTAGGATTAGAACTTGGTTAAAGCATTAATCTCCTATCAATGGTATATGGAAATCTTAATATTATATATGGAAAAATGATTACATCATTAGTTTCAAGTGTTTGCGTTTTTTTCCCGATCAGATAAGTTTTTTTTTTTTTAATGTTAAAAAAAGGGGCAGTCACTCAAACTAGAAATGTGACATTCTTCTTTTTCTTCTTTTTTTTTTTTTTGTGAGACGGAGTCTTGCTGTCACCCAAGCTGGAGTGCAATGGTGTGATCTCAGCTCACTGCAACCTCCGCCTCCCAGGTTCAAGCGATTCTCCTGCCTCAGCCTCCTGAGTAGCTGGGATTACAGACGTGCCGCCCCACCATGCCCAGCTAGTTTTTGTATTTTTAGTAGAGACGGAGTTTCACCATGTTGGTCAGGCTGGTCTCGAACTCCTGACCTCGTGATCCACCTGCCTCAGCCTCCCAAAGTGCTGGGATTACAGGCGTGAGCCACCACGACCGGCCCGACATTTTTCTTTTTCATATTTTAAAATTGCTTTTTGGAAAATATAGATAAGAAATACTTTATTTATCCAGGTCTTATTTAAGGGGGACAATTCCAAGAAAAAAAATGATTTCAATTAAACCAATGAGATTTATGGTTCATATTCCTAAGAGTTTCCATCAGAAAATCTTCACCTTTTTTGTAGGTGGGGAGTTTTAGGTGAGAACTGGAAAACCTGTCAGTTAAATTCTACAAGAGCTGTAACACTTGAAAATACTCATCTTAGATTTGATCAATTATAGAAATATTCAACCTTATATAGTGCTTAACAGATCAATCCATCCCCGTATTGAGCTAAGTTTTGACAAGTGATATTAAGAAATTAAAATTTAAATAATCTTTATTCAAGATGGTTTGTGGGGCTAACTCATAACTCCGGAGGTTACCAAGCAGAGAACTACATTTGAATTTAAAAATTTTATTAAAAACCTTTTTATAGTATGTTTAGGTTTCAGCTTGTATGGTTGTGTAGGAGAGCTGGTTACCTCTTCCAAGGGAATTCCTAGCTCAGCTTTCAGCCGTCTCTGTGCTGCTCGCCTCACTCCAAGGGCGTCACTTTCCTCAAGCTCGGCTGGATTGCTTAATGGATGACTACAACACGTATTCGTAAAACAACCTGGAAAATGGTAATACAGAGACAGATCAACTTTTCTTCAAAGTAGGTCTGAAAGATCAAGAAAAAGTTTTATAAGTAACTGAAAAATGAAATGATTTTTAAGGATTTTAAAATCAGTTATAATGGGCTATCAGTAATTATTTTAAGGATTTTAAAATTGGTTATAATGGGCTATCAGTAATTATTTTAAGGATTTTAAAATTGGTTATAATGGGCTATCAGTAATTATGTTGTGAAACAGACTACATTTGTAGGTAGGTTCCTTATTAATACTTCTTTAACCAAAAAAGATCAAAGTGTAGATAATACAGATTAAAGATAAATATGTAAATTATACATATTGCCCAATTGCTTACTAGTTCTTATTTTTTCTTGCTGTTGTATTAGGTTGCACTCATTGTGTAAACTCACTTTATGCAGAATATAAAATTATGCCATTCACAGGATTTCCCTTTGTGACCTTGGCTCCAAGAATTCAGAATGATAAAAAGTCAAATTAATGTACAAACACAATATTGTACATTAAAAGTGTACTAACCTGGAAAGGTAATCTTAGCATCTGATCTTTGCTGTAGCAGAAGCTTATTTTCGGTGTTGAATAAGAAGACACTAAAAGCTCGATGCAATAATCCTGAAAGCAAAAGAAATAACAATTATTTTAGCCTTAAGTACCAGTTATTTGCCAAATTCTCTCCCTGCAGTTCAGAATAACATTAGTAACTTGCTGCTGCTTTTGCTTTTTCCCATGGTTTATCCACATGCATAGTCTCTGCATGGCTATGGTGAGGAAGAGCTCTGCACTGGGCAAGGAAGTTGGCCGTCGAGTGAAGGAAATGGTGATGCTGGTGGCCCCTTTCCGGCAGTCAAGTTCCCTATCAAGGACATTCAGTTCTCGGAAAGTGGTGAAGGCACATGCTTCCCTGCATGGTGCCCGCCTCTCTCCACTCTCTAGAAATATTAGAGGCTAGGCTGCTGCTGTATGTCAGGGCTAGTCCCTCTTCTATGAATCCAGAATAACTCTGAAGAAGCCGAGTAACAGGCATGAAGTGAAGAGAAATCGCTGTAACAGGAAGACAGCAAAGCAGATGCTAATGACCACACTATTTAACGAACTGGAACCAACGAGAAAATACGGTATTACTGAAGACTGCACTTCCTTGAACAGAGTGCTCTTCTCAGCAAATCGGAAATGCCTACACAAATCGCTTTACAAGAAAGACTGTTTCAAAGCAGCACCTTTCTCAATGTTCTCGTTCAGGTGACAATTCTTCTTGGTCTCAGCTCCAATTTTATTGTCATTTTCATCAATAAGGATACACATCTCTGCCAGGAGTTGAACCTGTTGCTTGTCGAGGTGGTTAGTGTTTATTTCAGGCATCATTACAAAATGTCTGATCTGTTCTAGAACACTAATATTAAAGGAAAAGAGAAAGAAAGGCCATCATATATTTTTCTGAATGTCATATAAACACAGGTTAATAATGATGCTGCTTCCCCATCTGCAGTTGTACCACTCTGCATCCCCACAGGGACCCCAAGAACGCTGCCAGCCGGCTGCTCAGCACTATCTGGGTCATCATTTCTCCTACAGGTTTCACAGCTGGCCTTTTATCACAGTCATGCTCCTGAAGGCCAAGCTCAACGTTCCGCTCTAAATTCTTGACCTCTGAGATCCTCTGCAGCACTTGATACTCAATCCTTTTTCCAGTGTACTTTTCTTCTCTGGTTTTTGGCCCCAACCTAACTTTTCATCCTGCTTTTCTACACCAGCTTCTGTAATCTCTAGAATGTGCTCCCATTGCCATCCTGAATTGTTTTTCCCACTGCCTGTCTCTGCATAGTTGCTCAAGATTGCCACAGGCCAATCTTGGTTGAAATCCATTTTTTCAAGGCACAACTCGTGCCAGACATTCAATAACCTTTCTACCAATGTCACAGTAAGACTTAATCCAGTTTTTCTCAACCCAAGCTCCTGGGTTATCAGAAAAATTATTTGTATGAGTTTTGTCAATTTCCCCCAGGACAGTACTTAGCTGATATCATTCTAGATAAACAGGAGAAGACTTAATTCGTTATATTCAATAGATGCTTTAAGGCAGTGCTTGGCAAGTTTTTTCTGTGAAGGGCCAGAGAGTATGAACTCTGCCTCTGTAACACTAAAATAGTCACAGGCAATAGGTGAACTGGGCAGTATGTAAACTGAGTGTGGGTGCATGCCAATATTTATGGACACTGAATTACATTTAATTTTCATGTGTCACAAAATATTTTGATTCTTCTCCATCCGTTTAAATATGAGAAAAACACTCAGCTCACAGGACGTAACAACAGGCAGCAGGCCAGATTTGGCCTATAGGCCATAGTTGGCCCATTCCTACCTTAGTGCATCAAACATTAATTTTCTGAACCCCCATTTATCCCTCCCATGTGATTACAACGTAAAGCACTTATTAGGGTACTTTCAGTATTCTGACTCACACTTTTACATATCTGTATCCAGCAGCGTCTAAGCTTTCTAATCTTTGTATCCTTCAGGGCACCTTTACATAGTCTGACCTTGAAGTTTTTTATTCCCTTTTTTCTTCTCCTTTATTTCTGAATGAATAATAATTTTTGTTTTCTGATTTTTCTACCCAATATATTTTGAAGATCCCATGTGCTCTACTTTCTATGTGACTCTATTTCAAATACATAGATTTTACTGAAATACTTTTTTGTTTCTGAGAGGGAGTCTCGTTTTGTTGCCCAGGCTGGAATGCAATGGTGCAATCTCAGCTCACTACAACCCCCACCTCCTGGGTTCAAGTGATTCTCCTGCTTTGACCTCCCAAGTAGCTGGGACTACAGGCGTGCACCACCACGCCAGGCTAATTTTTGTATTTTTAGTAGAGACGAAGTCTTGCCATGCTGGCCATGCTGATCTCGAACTCCTAACCTCAGGAGATCTGCCTGCTTTGGCCTCCCAAAGTGTTGAGATTACAGGAGTGAGCCACCACACGGGGACCACTGAAATACTTTCAACAGAGTTCAAGCATACTGCAGAATGTACACAAAGTGTTTAAACAGCTACTTAATACAAAGTTCTAGACCCACATAGGGTCTGGGTGTGTGTGTGTGTGTGTGTGTGTGTGTGAATGCGTGTGTCAGGAGTCAGTGATGATGGAGATATTGATATCTAATACAAAAAATCTGAAATAAGGTTAATGATTAAAACAAATCAAGAGGGAAAATAATGTGAAAAGGAAGTCAACTTCAGAGTTAGCCTCAATTTTAGAAAGATTTCCAACTTCTATAGGCTAGTTTTATATACAGTCATCCTTTGGTATATATGGGAGTTAGTTCCAGGACCTCCCACAGCTACCAAAATTTGAGGATGCTGAAGTTTCAGATATAAAATGGCATAATATTTGCAGATCACCTGTGTATATCCACTGTGTACATACATGTGTCACATGATGGTGTTTCGGTACACTACAGACTGCATATACTACAGTGGTTCCATAAAATTATAACAGAACTGACATATTCCTATTGCTAATGATGTTGTAGCCATTGTAACATCGGAGCACAACACATCACCTTTTCTATGTTTAGATACACAAATACTTGCTGTTGTGTTACAACTGCCCACATTATTCAGCACAGTCACACACTGTCCAAATTTAGGCCTGAAGCAACAGGAAAAACAGCCTAAGAGCAACTGGCTACACCACACAGCCCAGCTGCTCCACTGTCTGTCTACACCACACAGCCCAGCTGCTCCACTGTCTACACCACACCGCCCAGCTGCTCCACTGTCTACACCACACAGCCCAGCTGCTCCACTGTCTACACCACACAGCCCAGCTGCTCCACTGTCTACACCACACAGCCCAGCTGCTCCACTGTCTACACCACACAGCCCAGCTGCTCCACTGTCTACACCACACAGCCCAGCTGCTCCACTGTCTACACCACACAGCCCAGCTGCTCCACTGTCTACACCACACAGCCCAGCTGCTCCACTGTCTACACCACACAGCCCAGCTGCTCCACTGTCTACACCACACAGCCCAGCTGCTCCACTGTCTACACCACACAGCCCAGCTGCTCCACTGTCTGTCTACACCACACAGCCCAGCTGCTCCACTGTCTACACCACACAGCCCAGCTGCTCCACTGTCTACACCACACAGCCCAGCTGCTCCACTGTCTACACCACACAGCCCAGCTGCTCCACTGTCTACACCACACAGCCCAGCTGCTCCACTGTCTACACCACACAGCCCAGCTGCTCCACTGTCTACACCACACAGCCCAGCTGCTCCACTGTCTACACCACACAGCCCAGCTGCTCCACTGTCTACACCACACAGCCCAGCTGCTCCACTGTCTACACCACACAGCCCAGCTGCTCCACTGTCTACACCACACAGCCCAGCTGCTCCACTGTCTACACCACACAGCCCAGCTGCTCCACTGTCTACACCACACAGCCCAGCTGCTCCACTGTCTACACCACACAGCCCAGCTGCTCCACTGTCTACACCACACAGCCCAGCTGCTCCACTGTCTACACCACACAGCCCAGCTGCTCCACTGTCTACACCACACAGCCCAGCTGCTCCACTGTCTACACCACACAGCCCAGCTGCTCCACTGTCTACACCACACAGCCCAGCTGCTCCACTGTCTACACCACACAGCCCAGCTGCTCCACTGTCTACACCACACAGCCCAGCTGCTCCACTGTCTACTGTCTACACCACACAGCCCAGCTGCTCCACTGTCTACACCACACAGCCCAGCTGCTCCACTGTCTGGTCCTTTGTCTACACCACACAGCCCAGCTGCTCCACTGTCTACACCACACAGCCCAGCTGCTCCACCGTCTGTCTACACCACACAGCCCAGCTGCTCCACTGTCTAGGTCTGCGTCAGCGCACTCTGCTTCCACAATGATGAAAGTACCTAACAATGAACTTCTCCAAAGTATCCCTGTTAAGTGATGCGGGCCGAACGTTAAATTATCATCTGTAGATGATCTCTTATAGTATCTAAAACATGTAAATCCTACATAAATAGTTGTGCTGTATTGTTTACAGAATAAGTCTGTATATGTTCAGTACAGATGAAATTTTTTTCCAAATATTTTATAATGTGCAGTTGGTTAAATCCATGGATATGGACCCCAAGGATACAGTAGGCCAACTGTATATTAGGTGATCACTAAGATAGGTTTCGTTACTACATAATTACTAGACTTTTTGACATGACTTTTTTTCCGGGGGGATGGGGCTGGGTCTTGCTATGTCTGTCGCCCAAGCTGGAGTGCAGTGGCGCGATCTCGGCTCACTGCAGCCTTCGACTCCGCCTCCCAAAGTGCTGGGATTAAAGGCGTGCACCACCGCCCAGCTGTAATGACAATTGCTCTTTCAGGATTTTCAGAATTCAGATTTTAAAGCTAAGCTGCATAATCACAAGATAAAATGAATACGTCTATTTATGCGTTTAAAGAATACCATGTAGTAGACGCGGGAACACATCATCCAACCCAAGAAAAAGGTCTAGTTCCATCTATGCGATGCTCCCCATCTCTTCTCCTGCTCCATTCCCAGGAGAAGCGCCTTGAGTGTGTTGCTGTCACCCTCTTGCACGGACGCAGGTGTATGCACCCGCGTCACACGCGTGGACTCGGCACGGGGAGGCCGGTGTCGTCACGCTCGTGTTTCTGACGATGCTGTCTACGCTTGTTTCTGAATTCTCTAAGGGGAGACTCGCAACTCTTAGTCTCCTGCGACTCGGTTTCCAGTTCCACGAGTTCCTAAACCTCAGGTGACTGTGCGCAGACGACGATCTTTTCCGCTGACAAAGAATGGCAACGTCTCTGACGCCCCGACTCACGCCTCCGCCTTCCACGGGGCGCGGGCGCCCACCACAGCCCGGGAAGGCCCGGCCTCCCTCCAGTTCGGGAGACCAACGCCGCCACCCCCAGCTGTCCAGGCCTCCGCGCCGAGACCTCACGGGTGGCTCAGACCTCGGGCCTCCTCCCCGCCCCGTCCCGCAGCTCCCCGATGCCGCCCTGCCCCTGTCTCCCGAACTCCGCCGCCCGTCCACAGTACCTGATCAGCCTCCGGCCACAGACAACCGCCGGTCCCGGATGGCGCCCGCTTTGAGCACAGTCTGCGGCGCGCACCGCCCACTGGCCCCGCCCCCGGGCCGCGCAGCCAATCGCTCGCGCCAGCGCCAGTCCACGCCACATCGCCCGGCCAATTGGCGCCCGTACGCGCTTGACGACACAATCTCGCCAAGCTTCGCCTGGTGGTGCCACCTCCCTGGCCTGTGACAACGGCAGACGCGCGAAGCACCGGGAACCTGAGCCGTGACCGCGGGCTCTGGCGCCTTTAAGGGGGTCAACACGCCCCACCCCCAGTTCCGCAGAGGCAGCGTCCCGCGACTGGGCGGTGCCCGAGACCACAGACGCCGCCAGCCAATCACGCTTTCGATCCTGCCGTGCGAGCCCGAGGCGCTGCGAACGGTGCCTAACGTCAGACGTCTCGAGGCTCGCGTTCCATGGAGGAAGCCCTCCCAATCCGAAAGCGCCCGGGCGCCAAGCCCTGCAGCCGGAAGCTCGGCGTCCCATGGGAGCGACCTCCGCATGGCTGGACCAATGGAAACGGAGGAAAGGCGGGACGTCACTGCTGACTGGCTGGTTGGGCACTCCCCCCCCTCCCCCCCCCCGAGTTCCGCCGCTGGGACTACAGCGTTTGGCTGCACGGGGAGTTCTCGTATGTCTAGAACGATGGCCTTTCTGCGGTGTCTGCGACCGGGACCAAGGCGGAGCAAAGTCGCCGGGGGTGTGGGGTGTTCCACGCTATGTTGGGAGTGTTCGCTTTCGAGGTACATGACTACGTTCTAAATTTTTTTTTTTTGAGACAGTTTCATTCTTGTTGCCCAGGCTTGAGTGCAATGGTGCAGTCTCCGCTCACAGCAACCTCCGCCGCCCGGGTTCAGGCAATTGTCCCGTCTCAGCCTCCCAAGTAGCTGGAATTACAGGCATGCGCCACCACGCCCGGCTTATTTCGTATTTTTAGTAGAGACGGGTTTCCGCATGTTGGTCAGGCTGGTCTGGAACTCCTGACCTCAAGTGATCCACCTGGCTCAGCTTACCGAAGTGCTGAGATTCCGGGTGTGAGCCACCGCGCCTAGCCCTCTAAACTTTTAAATAATCGTGAAATGTATGCGCAGCTGAAGCGAATTCAGCTATTTCCTCTACCTTTTGTGTGGAATTTAAAATACTGAACTTGTGAGATGAACCTGGTGGGCACCAGTTCTCAAACTTCTTGGTCACAGGACGCTTGCACTCTCTTAAAATGTACTGAGGACACCTAAAAGCTTTTGCTCACTGTTGTTTACTACTGCTATTTACTAACATAGAAATTAAACATATTAAAATATTCACTTAAAAAACACACGACACTAACATAAGTTATATTTTTATTAAAAATCTTTTCCAGACAAAAAACAGACTTTGATTTTGTTTTATGTGTTGACAGATCTCTTTCATGTCTGGCTTCACACAGATAAGAAAATCTGGCCTCCCGCATGCGCAGCAAGTCCTCACTGCTGTCAGTGCGTTCTTGGGAATCAGGACTTTTAAGTGAAACAACGTATAGCAAAACCAATTTTACCAGAGGCTAAAAAATAAGGATTAAGTTCCTAAAGCATACTTCTGGCCAAGGAAAAAAAAAATCACTAAGCTTCTAAAGGCCAAAGTATTCTAATATTAAACATTGAAATAAATGTGAGCTATACATACATTTAAGAAAGATGAATAAAAAGATAATTATTACTTAATTATTCCAGTTCTGGGTCATGTGTAGCTGAAGCCTGTTTCAGTAGCTCAGGGCACAAAGAGGGAACCAGCCCTGGACAGGACGCCATTCCATCACAGGGCCACTCACACACCCACACTCAGACTGGGACAGTGAAGACACACCAGTTCACCTCACGTGCACACCTCTGGGATGTGGCAAGAACTGCAGCACCCAGAGAAAACCTATGCAGGTGTGGCGAGAACACGTAAACACCACAAAGACAGTGCCCCTGGCTGGGAGTCTTTTTCTCATCAATGTTACAAAGAAATGAATGAGCACCTGCTGTATGCAGTTTGAAAATTGAGAAGTATTTTTTAATAGCCTTTTCAAATTATCTTGGTTATTCTTTTTCGATACTACTACCCCAAAACACGAGTGGTGGATTTTCCAATTACTATTTGGAATTTGAAACCACTTCAATGGACATTTTGTACTTGTTACATTAAAACTCATTATTTTTGACTGTACCTCGAATGCCTATTTTCCTGTGCGTGATGTTGAAATGTCATGCATTGGTCATTTGGAAAATACTGATTTACTGAATTAAACAGATCTTCCAAATGCTAAAACATTTCATTATTCAATATCAATCACATTGTTAATATCACTAGTAATCTCATCAGAAAAGTTTTTAAGTATTGGGAAGCTAAAGTATTGTAGCACTGGCTTCCACATAAAGTCACCAAGTTCTTGATGGTTTTAAGTTTGTTTTTTATTTGAATTTTTGCATGAAAATTCCAACATTATTGGCAACAAGTACTGAGAATTATGTTCCTTGAAGTGGCACGAACATATTTATTTTCACGAAAATGTCTGCCAAATATCTAGGTTTGAATACCTCAGTTTATCTGTCAGTTCTTTCCAGTAAAAGCGGTATTTCATGAAAAAAGCAGCTAGTTAGTTCAGCTTACAACTCAAACGTTCCCACAAGTTCTTTTCCTGGAGACAACAATCATAATTCAGCATGTAGCAGAAGTGCTTTATGTGCATTTCCCATTTTGTTATAGAGAATATTAGATGAGTACTGAATGGTCGAGATGATTAAAGTTAATATTTTTTACTGCTAACCATCAGCTGAGCCTTCAATGAGTCATAATCTTTTTGCTGGTGGAGGGTTTTGCCTCAATGTTGATGGCTGTTGATCAAGGTGGTGCTTGAAAGTTGGGGTGGCTGTTGCAGTTTCTTAAAATAAGACAATAATGAAATTTGTCACGTTGATTGACAATTCTTTTCATGAAAGATTTTTTTTAAACCACAGGAAAACTTTTTTTTGAGACAGAGTCTCGTTCTTTCGCCCAGGCTGAAGTGCAGTGGTGCGATCTTGGCTCACTGTAACCTCCACCTCCTGGGTTCAAGCAATTCTCCTACCTCAGCCTCATGAGTAGCTGGCACTATGGGCGTGTGCCACCATGCCCGGCTAATTTTTGTATTATTAGTAGAGCTTGGGTTTCACCATGTTGGCCAGGCTGGTCTTGAACTCCTGACCTTGTGATCTGCCCACCTTGGCCTCTCAAAATGCTGGGATTATAGGCATGAGCCACCGCACCCGGCCAGGAAAACTTCCAAAGTTAGAGTCAATCCTCTCAAACCCTGCTGCTACTTCATAAACTAAGTCTATGGAGTATTCTGAATCCTTTGTTATCATTTCAACAGTGTTCACATCTTCACCAGGATTAGGTTCCATCTCAAGAGACCACTTTCTTTGTTCATCCACAAGAAGCAACTGCTTATCCATTCATGTTTTATTATGCTAGTGCAGTGATTCAGTTACATCTTCGGGCAGCCATAGCCTTACAAAATGTATTTCTTAAATAATGAGACTTGAAAGTCAAAATGACTTCTTGAGCTATGGGCTGCAAAAGGGATGTTGTGTTAGCAGGCATGAAATCAACATGAATCTCCTTGTATATCTCCATCAGAGCTCTTGGGTGAACAGGAGCACTGTAAATCAGCAGTAATATTTTGAAACGAAATCTTTTTTTTTTCCTGAGCAGTAGGTCTCAACAACAGTGGGCTGACAATATTTAGTAAACCACACTGTGTAAGTAGATGTGCTGTCATCTAGGCTTTGTTGTTCTATCTACACAGCAGAGGCAGACTAGAATTAGCATAACGCTTAAGGACTCTAGGATTTTCAGAATGATAAATGAGCACTGGCTTCAACATAAAGTCATCAGCTGCACTAGCCCCCTAGCAAGGGTCAGCCTGTCCTTTGGAGCTCTGAAGCCAGGCTTTGACTTCTCCTCTCTAGTTATGACAGTCCTGGGCGGCATCTTTTCCCAAAATAAGGTTGTTTCAACTCCAATGAAAACCTATTGTTTAGCAAAGCCGTCTTCATCAGTGATCTTAGGTAGATCTCCTAGATGACTTGCTGCTTTATCTTGCACTTGCACATTTTTTTTTTTGAGATGGAGTCTCACTCTGTTACCCAGGAGTGTGGTGGTGTGATCTTGGCTTACAGCAACCTCCAACTCCTGGGTTCAAGTGATCCTCCTGCCTTAGCCTCCTGAGTAGCTGGGACTACAGGCGTGTGCCACCACACCCAGTTAATTTTTGTATTTTTAGTGGAGGCAGGGTTTCACCATGTTGGCCAGGCTGGTCTTGAACTCCTCACCTCAAGGGATCCACTTGCATTGGCCTCCCAAAGTGCTGGAATTACAGGCATAAGCCACCATGCCTGGCCTATCTTGCACTTTTGTATTATAGAGACAGCTTCTTTCCTTCAACCTCATGAACCAACCTCTGATAGCTTCAGATTTTTCTTCTGTAGCTTCCTTACCTCTCTCAGCCTTCAGAAAACTGAAGAGAGTTAGGGCCTTACTCTGGATTAGGCTTTATCAGAATATTGTGGCTGGTTTAATCTATACAGACCACTCAGAGTTTCTCCATATCAGCAATAAAGCTGTTTTATTTTCTTACCATTTGTGTATTCACTGTAGGAGCACTTCAAATTTCCTTCAAGAACTTTTCCTTTGCATTCACGACTTAGCTGTTTCAACATGCCTTCCTCACCATGCTTAATCATTAATCATTTCTAGTTTTGATTTAAAGTAAGAGATGTGCAACTCATTCTTTTATGAAACAGTAGCCATTTTAGGGCTATTAATTGCCTGATTTTTTTTTTTTTTTGAGTCAGGGTCTTGCTTTGCTGCCCATGCTGAAGTGCAGTGGCGTGATCACAGCTCACTGCAGCCTCGAACTCCTAGGCTCAAGCAATCCTCCTGCTTCAGTCTCCCAAGTAGCTGGGACTACAGGCATGAGCCACCACCATGCCTGGCCCCTAATTTCAGTATTGCTGTGTCTCAAGGATAGGGAGGTCTGAGCAGAAGGAGAGAGATAGGGAGGCAGCTGGTCAGTGCAGTGGTCAGAACACATAAAACATTTATCGACTCAGTTTGCTGTCTTATATAGGGGTGGTTCATGGTGCCCCCCAAGCAATTATGACAGTAATATCAAAGATCACTAATCACAGATCACTATAACTGATTTAATAACGGAAACATTCCAAGAATTACCAAAATGTGAGAGAGACATGAAGTGAGCACATACTGTTAGAAAGATGGTGCTGACAGACTTGCTCCATGCAGGGCTGCCACAAACCTCCACTTTGTAAGAAACATATGATACCTGTGAAGTGCAATAAAGTGATACACATGAAAACAGTTGTGCCTGTTACATGACATATATACACACATATATATAACTTGAGAATTTAGGAAGCGACATGTCAAACAGCTTATAACACTATAGTGTACTATCCAAGTGTTTGAGACACAGTTAAAATAATCAGTAATGAGGACAATGACAGAATACCTAGTAAATCTTAATTCCCTATCAAACCATGCGCAAAAATGAGTCTTAGTAAATTCAGCATTGTTGCCCTATGTCAGGGACAAAGTACATGTATTTTGCATAGATGGACATGTGACAAAATAGAAATTGGTTTTCTGAGACAGGATTCTCCACAGCTTCTGCAGGAGGGAGAATGTAACTGGATACCAGGATTGCAATCATAACCTTTTATAATTTCGGCTAGTTTTGTGTCTTTTAAAAAAATTACATTGGATAGTTATTTCAGGATACAGTGTGTTATGGGTTAAATTGTGTCCCCCTTTCAAATTCATGTGTTAAAGACCTCACTTCCAGTATTTTATAATGTGACCTTATTTGGAAACAGGGTTGTTGTGGATATGATTAGTTAACATGAGGTCATATTAAAGTAGCGTCTACTGTACTCCAATATGACTGATGTCCTCATAAAAAGAACGCTAAGTGTGCAGACAGACACGGACATGGAAAACGTCATGTGAAGACTGGCGGGGGCATGCTGCCACAAGCCAAGGAATGCCTAGACGCTGAGATGCATTAACAGGCTCCCATCACAGCTCTCAGAAGGAATCAACCCTGCCAATACCTTGATTTGGGACTTCCAGTCAGACCTCTGACAATAAATTTGTTTAAGCTGCCTAGTTTGCAGTATTTTGTTCCTGCAGCCCTAGCACATCAACAGTGAAAAGAATATGGATTCTGATGCCAGCCTTTAGTCTTTGCCCTGCTGCACGATTATTTTTGACTTTTGACGAGTAATTTCCACATTCTCATGCTTAAAATTCAATTTAGAATAACTTTTACTTTATTGGATTCCTTTGGGGATTAAATTAGTTACAAAAGATGTAAAGCGACTGATCCTCAAAATGATTTCTTTCCCTTGTTTTGTGACATGTCATGCTCTCAGTTATTTTCAGTGACTTTTATGGAATCCTAAATATATCAACTTAAAAAATTACATTAGCGATATTCTTGGTGTTACCTGACTGTGGTGCGGTCCAGAAAAATAAAACCACCTGTTAGAATGCGGGTTAATTAGATGGGACACTGCGATTTACAAAGCTTTCTATTTGCTGCCATGCCCAGTACAATGTCTTTGCATACTAGGTACTAAATAAAATTATGTTACTTAAATGTCACAACCTCTAAAAGTTTAAAAAATGACTTCTCTAAAAACTCAAATATTTTTTTCCTTGGCGTTCCTCTTACAGAATTGTTTTTAGTGATAAAGTTTTATTAATATACTTAATGCAGAAATAACTTCACTTCTTTTTTTTTTTTGGTAATCTGGATCCCCTAAATAGAATGCTAAATTTGTTTCTTGTGCAACAAACAAGTTACCACTTCTGACTCTTCATCTTGAGCTTCCTTATTTTTTTTTGGAGACGGAGGCTCGCTCTGTCCCAGGCTGGAGTGCAGAGGCGCGATCTCGGCTCACTGCAACCTCCGCCTCCCGGGTTCAAGCGATTCTCCTGCCTCAGCCTTCCGAGTAGCAGGGGTTACAGGCGCGCGCCGCCACGCCCGGCTAGTTTTTGTATTTTTAGTAAAGACAGGGTTTCACCATGTTGGCCAGGCTGGTCTCGACCTCCTAATCTCGTGATACGTCGGCCTCGGCCTCCCAAAGTGTTGGGATTACAGGCGTGAGCCACCGCGCCTGGCCTTGAGCTTCCTTTTTAAAGGAAGGAGCAGGAATGTTAACCTACACAGAAAAAAAAAATGCTTTCACGCTCTTGATTTACTCTAGGTGGGCTTCAAATGCGCGGTTAGCGCTTTCTGTAGAGCGTTGAGACGGCTGTTTACGTAAAGACCATCATGCGACGTTTCCAACCTAGATTCTAAGAAAAAAGCGGCCCAAGTCCCACCTTTCGCAGGGAACAGCTGATTCTGTTTTTCCTTCCCAGCCAATGGTGATCAAAAGCTTCAGGACGCTGGTGAGTCACTGCGGAGGAGCCGAACACTGACCGCGCCGTCCCCGCCAGGCTCCCGCGCGGCCGGCACCGCGGCCCTGAGCGCAGGCGGCCCCGGGTCTCAGGCCTCAGGCGGACCGCGCCCCGGGCTCGCAGCCCTCCCGCCCCGGCTGCCGGGCTACGGGGCAGATGGACTCGGAGCGCCCCGCCGGTGAGTAGCTACGACCCCCGAGGCCACCTCCCGCGAACCGCTCGGCGGCAGGAGTACGTGACCAAGGGTGGGGGCGTTGGCCCAGCAGCCGAAGGGGTCTTCAGCGCGCCCAGACCCCTCGGGGCTGCGGGGCGGAAGCCGGGGCGTGACTTCCGGCGCCGCCGGGTGTGGGGCGGAGGTGTGGGGCGGCTTCCGGAGAACCCAGCGGCGCGGGACTGGGGCGGGACTTCCGGCGACACCGGAAGTGCATTAGCGCCAGGTTGGGGTTGTGGGGTCGCGTCAGTGCGGAGACAGCGGTGTCCTGCGCGTCTTCGGGTCAGTACGGGGGGCCGCGTCGTAGGGACTCACTGGCGGTGCGCGACCTGGGCTGGCTCCGGGGGTGGCGGGCGCAGCTGCTGTGACAGGTGAGTGCCGCCATCTTCCTACCTGTCAGGCGCCGAGTCGTTCCCCGGATGCCCCGAAGAGGAGTCGGGACACTGCAGGGCTCAAGGGGGTGCAGGGGCAGTCGGGGCATAGTGGCGGATGGGGTGCAGGTGGGCTTGGAATGCAGAGGGTCCGTGGTGGTGCAGGAGGGGTCGGGTCCCTGGAGGACCCGTGGCGGTGCAGGAAGGGCCGTGGTGCAGAAGGGTTCAGGGTGCAAGAGAAGTCGGGGCGCAGGAGTAGTCCGTGGCGGTGCCAGAGGGACCAGGGTGCGGGAGGGATGGGGGCCCGGGGCGGTGCAGAAGATGTCGGAGTCCAGGAAGAGTCGGGGCGCTGGAGGGGTTGGGGGCAGAAGGGTTCGGCCCGGGGTCTCTCCCCGCCCCCTTTGCTTCGGCCTGGGCATCCCGGGGAAGTGCGTCTCCAGGGAAGCACTTGGGAGGCCCTTCAGAGAGGAGAATGGCCTTTCTTCTCTCCAAAGAGTGGGGATGGTCGGCTTCAAGAAGGGTGGTGAGTGTGGAGTGACGGATGCTGAAGTGATTAACACAGCGCCATGATATTGTTCCCCTTTTGAAGACTTCCTTTTCCTTCCCTTCCCCCTGAAAGCAGCCACCGCTGGAGGGAAACATTTTAAGACAGCTGTTCACCGGAATAACACAAGAGCAACAATAATAATGTACTCATTTACTAAACCAAGTTGAATAAATACATTTTTCCAGGTTGTGAGTGAAAATAGCTTAAGGTCTGCCAGGTTTTTAGAGATTTTGTCATTTAACTTAAACGCTAAAACATTCGTCCCTTGAAGCGGATACCATTATAGAAAAGTGTTAATTGCTTGGAAGTTTCATTTATTGAAGTTCAAGTGTTTTTCTCTTAAATTCAGTATGTTGGCCTGTGAGTTACGGTCATAAAAGTATTGCAGGAATTATTTACCTCTGAATGAGAAAGCTCAAGATAGTTATATCTCCAGGAACTTTCTTCGTCTTCTGAACTTCCCCCAACCCCAGCAGACACACACACTGTTCTGGTTACTTTCCTGATCAAATTCGAGTCTTTCAAAATAGCTTTTGATATGTCCCAGGAGTTAAACACGGTATGTAAATATGAACTCACCAATGTGGAACAAATGGAGTGATCTGTTATCCCCTGGGTTTAGACGCTGCCTTTCTATTAATACTGCTCACAGGAGACAGAGTAGGGACTCGTGTGCACTGGCCACGTCTCAACAGCAGTGTGACCTTGGGCAAGGCCTTCCTAAGTCCCGACTCCCTGTCCTCTAACATGGTGTTCATATCAGCCTCATTTTCTTACTGGGAAGGTTACGTTATGTAATATATGCCAGCCATTTTTGCAAAGTGCTGTATACAGGAGATCTTGAGTGAGTGTGTTTCCCTCCTCCTCTTTTTGGGTAGCTATGTTAGGCTGTTCACTTTGGGCATTTGCCCTGAACTAAAATCCCTAAGTCCCTTTCCCCAAGGTGAAACTAAGATAGAGTTTTCATATTTATCCTGTCTTATTCTTTTCAGGGAAAAGATTTTACATCTGTTGAATTTCATCCTTGGTTTAAAGTTGTTCTTTTAACTACTGAGATCTTTTGAAAATCTTGATGGCTATTTATCTGATTAATGGTATTTCCTAATTGATTGTCATCCACAGAATTGATGGTGTATGTATTCCATGCCTTCATTTCGTCAATGACAAAACATTTTAAGCAGGTTAATACTGATGACAGATTTCTGAGGTTGCCTGTAGAGACCATTCTCTTCCTCGATATTGCTCAGAAGTTGAATTTGGTGTCTCAGCCCACTAGGAATTCGTCTAACAGTGTTATTACGATAAAATGTTACTACAAACTTGATTAAACTTCTGGTGGAAATTCCATCACATTTTATGCAATTTTCAATTTATTTCTCCAATTTATTTTTAATGCCACATGGACATTATATTCCTTAACCATTCTTTTGCATGTGATTAACATTTGTGAAATTAACCACTTAAGCAAGTGTTTTTGCTTTGATGAAAGAAAAATGTTTAAAATCCTACTGGATATGAAACTGAAAGTAATGTTTTGTGTTTTTTGTTTCAAATGAAAGTGTAAATTAAGAATTTGTTGGCAGGGCGTGGTGGCTCATGCCTGTAATCCCAGCACTTTGGGAAGCCGAGGTGGGCAGATCACCTGAGGTCAGCAGTCCAAGACCACCCTGGCCAACATGGTGAAGTCCCGTCTCTACTAAAAATACAAAAATCAGCTGGGCATGGTGGCGGGCACTTGTAGTCCCAGCTACTCAGGAGGCTGAAGCAGGAGAATCACTTGAACTCAGGAGGCAGAAGTTGCGGTTAGCCGAGATCACGCCACTGCCCTCCAGCCTGGGGAGACAGAGCGAGATTCTGTGTCAAAAAGAAAAGAATTTGTCGTATTGCTGTTTCAAGCTACTTTGGTTATGTTATCTGCCTTCCTCAAATTATACACACTTAGGAGAATGATAATTTCTATAGCTACAAATTAATTAATATTGGAAATATTGAAAAGAATCTGGCCAGGCGCAGTGGCTCATGCCTGTAATCCCAGCACTTTGGGAGGCTGGGTCAGGTGAATCATGAGGTCAGGAGTTCAAGACCAGCCTGGCCAGGATGGTGAAACCCCGTATCTACTGAAAATACAAAAAATTAGCCAGGCGTGGTGGTGGGTGCTTGTAACCCCAACTACTCAGGAGGCTGAGGCAGAGAATTGGTTGAACCCGGGAGGTGGAGGTTGCAGTGGGTCGAGATCGCGCCACTGCACTCCAACCTGGGCGACAGAGCGAGACTCTGTCTCAAAAAATATATATATAAAAGAATCTTTTGAGAAAGAGCAGAAAGCTAAGTGTTCATTGATGCTGTTTAATATTACAGCATTTCTGTCACGCAGGCTGGAGTGCAGCGGCATGATCTCAGCTCACCACTGCCTCCACCTCCCAGGGTGGAGCAATTCTCGTGCCTCAGCCTCCAGGGTAGATGGGAGGCGTGTACCATCACGCCCAGCTGATTTTTGTATTTTAGTAGAGACGGGACTTCACCATGTTGGCCAGGCTGGTCTTAAACTCCTGACCTCAGGTGATCCGCCTGCCTGGGCCTCCCAAAAGGCTGGGATTACGGGCATGAGCCATCATGCCTGGCCCAATATTACAGCATTTCTAAAGATGAGGAATTCAGCTTGCTAACACAGTGTGTTTATGGGTTTCATTAATTAGTCGAATGTTTGGCCAGTGCCTGCTGTGTGTAGAGCACTGTGCTGCATCACAGCTGTGTGCCTGTTGTTCTGACTGCTTACAAGCAGTGGGGTGTATTACGTACACGGCAACATATACTAAGGGCAGGTGAACTGGACAGACTAAATGAGTCAGGAGTTCAGAAGGAGCGTTTATTCTGTTAAATCCATGGTAGGATAAAGAGATTGAATTTTTAGAGGGGACTATTTATAGTTTCTTGAAAATAATGTTTTATTGAAAACCAGAAGGACATTTAATCTCCATAAGCCTTCTTTGTAATATGGTAATCTGTCCAATAATATTGGGTAAATGTGAATATTTTGAAGGAAAATAATTACGTTTTGGAATCTCAGGTTTCTCTTTGCTTGTATTTAGGTAAAACAGTGCATAGAGGTTAAAGAAGGTTATATTTGGAGTGAAGAAGTTTGTTTTTTCTCTTTACAGTTCTATAATCAGTTTATTAGTGTTTAGTCTGTTAAATACAATCGGGTGCCACATAACAAATGATGTTTTGGTCAACAACAGACCTCATGTAAGATGGTGGTCCCATAAGATTGTAATACTCTATTTTTACTGTACCTTTTCTATGTGTAGATATGTTTAGGTACACAAATAGATACCATTGTGTTACAGTTGTCTGCAGTATTCAGTACAGTAACATGCTGTGCAGGGTTGTAGGCTAGGAGCAGCAGGCTGGGCCATCTAGCCTAGGTGTGGAGTAGGCTGTGCACCTAGCTTTGTGTAAGTGTACTCTGCGATGTTCCCACAGTGACGAAATCACGTAACGATGCATCTCTCAGAACCTGTCCCCATCCTTAAGTGATGTATGACTGTGTTGAAAGGCTCTTAATTGGATTTGGGAACTCTGTCTCATAGGGATGTTATGAGGATTAGTGACTCTTTGTATTTATTGATCCATTTGAGCCTTACAGCAATTCTTTGTAGTAGCTCTTCAGCCTCTGGTAGATCTGCCAGTCCACCAACTTTCTTCCAGTATCTCTCCATTAATTCTTTCTGTTTTCACTTCCCTTCCTGTCTATTTTAGATTCCATGGTATACCATTTCAGTAGTTTTACAAACACCTGCCACTTCCTTGTCCCTCTTCCCATGATACCAACCTGAAAACCCCCTAAACTGGTGATTAAACATTTAAATAAGATTTATGCTACGCCGGTTGAGCATCCTAATCCAAAAATTCAAAATCCATAACATGACACAAGTGGAAATTTCCACACCTTACCTTGTGACAGACAGGTTGTAGTCAAAATGTGGGTGCGCAACATAGTTTATTCAGGATCCCCTAGGGCAAAATAAAATTACCTTCAGGAGGCCTGCTGTGGTGGCTCAGGCCAGTAATCCCAGCATTTTGGGAGGCCGAGCTGGGCAGACCACTTGAGGCCAGGAGTTCGAAACCACCTTGCCAACATGGTGAAACCCCGTCTCTCTTAAAAATACAAAAATTAGCTGGGCATGGTGTTGGGTGCCTGTAATTCCAGCTACTTGGGAGGCTGAGGCAGGAGAATTGCTGGAACCTGGGAGATGGAGGTTGCAGTGAACCGAGGTTAACACCACTGCACTCCAGCCTGGGCAACAGTGGAGACGTCATCTCAAAAAAAAAAAAAAATTACCTTCAGGCTACGTGCATGAGGTATACATGAAACATAAATGAACTTTGAGTTTAGCCTTGGGTCCCATCCCTAGGATATCTTACTATGTATATGCGGATATTCCAAAATCTGAAAGCATCTGAATTCTGAAACACTTCTGGTCTTGAGCTTTTTTTTTTTTGGGGGGGCCAAGGACTGAGTTTCCATGGAGGATGTGGTGTGAAAGGAAGGAAGTGGTGATAGGACCAATACAGACACTGGGAAAAAATGTGGAGGGTGTGAATACAGAGATGATAAGATTACTCCAGTATGAAAAAATCTGTATTTGGTGCCAAGTTCCAGGGAGGTGATTGTAGGAAATGCATACATTTGGTTGTAGTTGATCAGCAGAAAAAGATTGCCGGCGGTATTGACTATTTTGTGAAGTGGCGAAGAAAGCAAGCTAAACCAAAGAGAACACCATGCAACTTACGGAGAGGCTGGAATAGCCAGTGAGATAAAATCAGTGATCCAAAACTTATAATTTTGATGAGAAAGGAAAGGTGATATTGTAATCTCTGCATTTTTGGTAACGAACTTGTAGAATGTCTGGAATGCATCAGAATGTTTCTACAGATGAAGTTCTTAAGAGAGGGAAGGGAAACCCTTTGCTGGTTTTATTTGCTTCATTTAACTGAAGATAGAGTCTCCCTTTTTCTCTGAGGCCATATCAGGACAGCTTTCACAGGCTTTTGATGTGGTTTCTTTTTTTCCTTTACAAAACATACTCCATAAACTACAAAGTAACTGTTTTATGTTGTAAAGCAAGACTTACTTCTCCTTTAAAAATAGGCCTACACATATGCAATTTGAGAATAAAAGATGATTCTTGGCTTTCTGCTTGCGGAAAGATGGAGACTTATTTTTCCTTATTCCTCCCATGAAGTACATCTAAAAACACTGGACATATATAAAACAAATGTAAGAGTGGGCCGGGTGCAGTGGCTCACGCCTGTAATCCAAGCACTTTGGGAGGCTGAGGCGGGCAGATCACAAGGTCACAAGTTAGAGACCACTCTGGTCAATATGGTGAAACCTTGTCTCCGCTAAAAATACAATAATTAGCCAGATGTGCTGTTGGGCACCTGTAGTCCCAGCTACTTGGGAGGCTGAGGTAGGAGAATTGCTTGAACCCAGGAGGTGGAGGTTGCAGTGAGCCAAGATTGTGCCATTGCACTCCAGCCTGGGGAACAGAGCGACACTCTGTTAAAAAAAAAAAAAAAGAGACTGAAAGATGGAGAAAAGAAGGTAGACTTCCTTCGTACATTGGGACCACAGAAATGACACCAAACTTAGTTCTGTGAGTTTTCTTTTTGCCTCATGTATCTCATATGTTGTGCTGGATAAGCTAGCAGCGCAGGTATAAAAGGACTCAGACAAAACAAGGCCCAAGAAAAGCCTGCTCTCTGTGTCTGAAAGACCAGGAAAGGGGCAGCCTACAAATCACAGAACTTTTCGATGGTAAGTACTTTCCTCCAGCTAAATATCACAGGAAACCCTGCAGCACCACCCTCACCCTGCTAATCAGAGAACTTTTCGGCGGTAAGTACTTTCCTCCAGCTAAATATCACAGGAAACCCTGCAGCACCACCCTCACCCTGCTAATCAGAGGCTGAGCAGGTACTTCAGATTCCCACTCATGACAAGCTGGGATGAGATGCTCCTCTCTGCAGGGTTGCTGTCAGAGAAGACTGGCTGAGGAGTTGGGGTTTTACTTCTGCTGGGTGGTGACAGAGCACAGCCTCCTTTCTGCTAGGGTATCATAAGAGGGACCTTGCAAAACTCAGGAACTTTACTGCTGCCCTGTGGTCATGAGGCCACCCCCCTGTGGTGTGGGGGAGACTGTATAGGGAGCAGCACGGAGGCAGCCCTGATTCAGCCTTGGTGGTGGGAGTGGAAGTTCGGCAGGAGGCTGAACTTTCCTTCTCATGCAGGGGTCCGTGGAGGCTGAGTGGGAATCTCAACTTCCACCTCACCGTCCACATCCACCTGGCAGAGGCCTGCTCTAACAGAAGACTTACATCAGATCCTGAGTCTGATGTCAGGATTTCAATGGAAAATCACTCATAGGAAAATCTCAACCTCAGTAAGAAAAGACCACTGATGCCAACGTAGAGATGACACAGAGTTTAGAATTATTTGACAAGGACCTTAAAGCAGCGATTGTAGAAATGCTTCAATAACCAATTAACATTCGAGACAAACGACAAATAGCCTCAGGAAGAAAATACAGGATGTAAAAAAGAAACACAAAATTTCAAAAGTGAAAAATAGAATATGTGAAATAAATTCAGTGGATGGCTTAGCAGCAGAAAGGAGAGGACAGACAAAAGAAGCTGTCAATTTGAAGATAGAACAATAGAAGTTACCCAATCTGAACAGCAGAGAGAAAATAGACTGGAAAAAAGTGAGCAGAGCCTCAGGGGCCCGTGGGACTTTAACAGAAGATGCAACATCTGTCATCAGAGGTCTAGAAAGAGAGAAGGACGGGGTGGGGGGAAAACGTGTCTGAAGAAATCACTGCTGTATGTTTCCTAAACTTGGCAAGCCATACACCTTCAGACGTAAGAAGCAGCATAAACCCAGAGAAGATAAACACAAAGATGCTAAGACACATCCAGGCCAACTTCTGAAAACTGAAGACAGAAGCATAGTAAGAGAGATACCACTTGACCTGTAGTGGGAAACAATTTGAGTGACAATGGATCTTTTTTTTTTTTTTTTTTTTTTTTTTTTTTGAGATGGAATCTTGCTCTGTCACCCAGGCTGGAGTGCAGTGGTGTGATCTCAGCTCACTACAACCTCTGCCTCCCAGGTTCAAGCAGTTCTGCCCTAGCCTCCCAAGTAGCTGGGATTACAGGCATGCCACATCACGCCTGGCTAGTTTTGTATTTTTAGTAGAGACGGGGTTTCACCATGTTAGCCAGGCTGGTCTTGAACTCCTGACCTCAGGTGATCTGCCCGCCTCGGCCTCCCTCACGCTTGCTGGAATTACAGTCATGAGCCACTGTGCCTGGCCTGACAGTGGATCTTATCAGAAATTGTGGAGGGCATAAGGAAGTGGCAGGACATTTTTTTCAGGTGCTGAAGGAAAAGGACTATCAACTCAGAATTTTATATCAAGTGAAAACTTCCTTCACATGATTTATCTCCAGCTGACCTACTCTATGAAAATAACAAATAAAGGAAATTCTCCAAACAGAAAGGAAATGACAAAAGAAATGTGGGAACATCAGGAGGGAAGAACAAAGAATGGACAGCAAAAATATCGGTCAATTTAGTATTCGTTTATTTTCTAAATTGTGTTTGGAATTTGAAGCATAACCGTGGTGTGGTTCTCAGTGTATGTGTAGGAAATATTTGTGATTACGTTATAAATGGGGAAAGGTAAAGAAGCATAGAGGAAAGTAAGATTTGTATACTTTATGTGAACTGGTAAAATGTTGATAATCAGTAGACTACAATAAGCTGTAAATGTATAATGTAAAACCTAGAGCTACCACTAAAAAGTTATACAAAACAGGCAAACTCAGAAATACTGTAGGTAAATAAATATGAAATTATAAAAAATGTTTACCCCACGAGAAGGCAAAAAAGAGAATAGAGGGAGAGAGAATGAATGATACACCATGAACAAGTGCAGTTTATTTTGTGGCTACAAGGTTGGATCAATGTTTGAAAGTCATGAGTGTAATTGGTCCTGTCAGTAGGTAAAAAAAAAAAGCTACTAGGAAAAAAACATGATAGAATTCAGCACTCATTCGTGAAAGAAACTCAGAAAATGAATGATAGAGGGAAACGTTTTCAACTTGATAAACAGCACCTACAAAAAAATCTATAGCTGGCATCAAAGTTAATGGTGAAACACAATATTTTCACCCGAATATTCAGGGCAAAGCAAGGGTGTTTGCTGTCACTATAGTAATTTAAGATAGTACTGGAATTTCTAGCCAAATCAATAAGGTAGTAAAAGGAAATAGAAGGCTTACAAACCACAAAGGAAGAAATAAAACTGTCCTTTTTTTTTTTAGATGACTTAATAGTTGACATAGAAAATCCCAAGGAATCCACAAAAAATCTTGAACTTTAGGTTCAGCAAGAATGTACACGTTTAATACATAAAATCCAGTTGTATTTATACTAGCAATTAACGTGGAAACCAAAATAAAAGTACAGTATCATTTAAACTTACACAAAAAATAAAAAGAGAGATGTTAGTCTAAAATGGAGAAAAGATATGTAGGACTTTTTTTTTTTAGAAACGGAGTCTTGCTCTGTCACCCAGGTTGGAGTGCAGTGGCGCGATCTTGGCTCACTGCAACCTCCGCCTCCCGGGTTGATGCCATTCTCCTGCCTCAGCCTCCTGAGTATCTGGGACTACAGGTGCCTGCCACCACGCCCTGCTAATTTTTTGTATTTTTTAGTAGAGACGGGGTTTCACCGTGTTAGCTAGGATGGTCTCGAAGTCCTGACCTTGTGATCCGTCCACCTTGACCTCCCAAAGTGCTGGGATTATAGGCGTGAGCCACCTCGCCCAGCCCGATACTAGGACTAATGCAGAAAAAACCTTGACATGGAGGAAAGTAAGATCTAAATAAATACTGTATTCATAGATTAAAAGACTCAGCATAATAAATATACCATTTCTCCCCAGATTGATGTACAGATTTAACACAATTCCTATCAAGATCCCAGCAAGATTTTTGTAGATATGTAAAAGATTATTCAAAAATGTAAAAGGAAGGACAAAGGACTAGAATAGATAAAACAAAATGGAGAAAGATTTAATAGGAATCACTGTAACTGATTTTAAGACATACAGAACAATAATAGAAACTGCTTGTATTAGTCCATTTTCACGCTGCTGATAAAGACATACCTGAGATTGGGCAATTTACAAAGGAAAGAGGTTTATTGGACTTACAGTTCCACATGGCTGGGGAGGCCTCACAATCATGGCAGAAGGCAAAGAGGAGCGAGTCACATTCTGCGTGGATGGCGGCAGGCAGAGAGGGAGAGCTTGTGCAGGAAAACTCCCCCTTATAGAACCATCAGATCTTGTGAGACTTACTATCACGAGAACAGCACGGGAAAGACCTGCCCCTCCATGATTCAGTTACCTCCCACTGGGTCCCTCCCACAACACATTGGAATTCAAGATGAGATTTAGCTGGGGACATAGCCAAACCATATCACTGCCGTTGGTGGAAGGATAAATATGTAGATCGGTGGAACAGAATAGAGAACCAAGAAATAACCCCACACAAGTACAGTGAGTTGATTTTTTGACAAAAGTCCAAAGCAGTTCAATCTAGGATGGATCATCTTCAACAAATGAGGCTGGGATAATTGGATACACAGGTGAAAACAAACAACAAAAAAACCTTGACTTAAATTTTACACCTTATAAAAAGGTCAGTACCATATAGGTAATAAATTTAGATGTGAAACAGAAAACTATAAAAAATTCAGGAGAAACAGGAGAAAATGTTTGGCCCCTAGGGATTCATGAAAAGTTCTTGTCATGACTTTAAAAGTGTGATGCATAGAAAAAATTATCAACATTAAAGAAGTGTTGCTTCATGAAAAACTCTTAGAATGAAGAGCAACAGATTGGGAGAAATGATTTGCAGCTTAACCTATGTGACATATAATTCATACTATAGAGTATGTAAAGAACTCTTAAATCTCAACAGTAAAAAACCCGAATAATACTGTTAGAAAATGGGTGTGAAGAGACACCTCACTGAAGAGGATATGTGGATGACAAGCACATGAAAAGATAGTGTCACTAGCCATCAGGGAAATGCAAATTAAGATCACAGTGAGATATTACACACCTAACGGAACAGCTAAATAAAAAAGTAGTGACAAAGGGATGCCTGCACTTGCAGGTATACACAGCACTGTTCACAATAGCAAAGGTATGGAATCAACCTAAGTGCCTGTTGACGGATGACTAGATAAATAAAATGTGGTGCGCACACACACACACACTCTGCAATACCATTCAGCCATAAGAAGAATGAAATTATGCCATTCGCAGCAACATGGATGGAACCAGAGGCCATTATTTTAAGTGAAATAAGCCAGGCACAAAAAGTCATGTCTCATGTTCTCACATGTGGGAGCTAAAAAATGTGAACACATGGAGGTAAACAGTGGAAAAATAGATAGATAATAGAGACCGGGAAGGGTGTGAGTCGGGGGCGGAGGGAGGATGAGAAGAGAGTTAAAAGGTACAAACATGCAGTATGATAGAAGGAATACATTCAGTGTTTGACAGCAGAGTAGGGTGACTATCCTTAAGAAAGCAGTATCTTAGGCCGGGCGCGGTGGCTGACGCCTGTAATCCCAGCACTTTGGGAGGCTGAGGCGGGTGGATCATGAGGTCAGGAGATGGAGACCATCCTGGTTAACACTGTGAAACCCCGTCTCTACTAAAAATACAAAAAATTAGCCGGGCGTGGTGGCGGGCGCCTGAGGCAGGAGAATGGCGTGAACCCGGGAGGCGGAGGTTGCAGTGAGCCGAGATTGAGCCACTGCACTCCAGCCTGGGCGACAGCGAGACTCTGTCTCAAAAAAACAAAAAAACAAACAGTGTTTTACTGGGGTGGTGGACACCCTAAATAGCCTGTCTTGATGACTGTGTTGTATACCTGGCACAAAATTTCTCATGTATGACAAATTTTCATAAAAGAGTAATGACAATACCAAATGCTGGTGAGGATGTGGATAACTGAATCTCTCATGTGTTCCTGATGATAATGTAGAATGAAACAGCCACCCTGGAAAATACTGATAGTTTGACACTCTTAGAAAAAAACCACAAAAACTAAACATGATTAAACATAAGCAATTCTGTTTCCAGGTATACCCAAGAGAAATAAAAGTATACACATACAAGAAATTTGCACTTTAACCTTCATAATAACCTAAAATATGGAAACAACCAAATGTCTGTCAGTTGTATTTGGCAATAAAAGGGAATACATTACCACTATGCTACAACATAGATGGACTTTGAAATCGTTGTGCTAAGTGAAAGAAGCTGGTTGTCACAGACCAGAGCGTATGTTGTATGATTCCATTTTTATGAAATGGCCAGAACAGGCAGATTCATATGGAGAGAAAGTAAATTAGTGGTTGCCTAGGGCTAGCTGGGAAGTGGGTGGGAGAAATGAGGAGTGAGGGCAAATAGGTGTGGGGCTTCGTTTTGGGGTGATAAAAATGTACAGTTGATTGTGGTAATGATCGCACAACTTCCTGAGTATACTGAGAGCCATTGAATTGTGCACTTTAAATAGGTGTCTTACATGGTGTGTGAATCGTATATCAAGATTTTTTTTAAAGCTAAATATACATTTACCCTGTGACTGAGCAGCCTTATTCTTGGGCTGTTTATCCAAAAGAAATGAGAACTTAGGTTCACATAAAACCCTGTATATTATTGTTCATGGCAACTTTATTAGTAATAGTAAAAAAATTGGAAAGAATATATATATATATATATATTTTTTTTTTTTTTTTTTGCAGCAGGTGAATGGTTAAACAAATGGTTAAATGTCCATACTGTGGACACTAGCTAGTAATAAAAAGGAAAAAACTGTTGATACATGCAGAAAATTGGTTGGATCGTAACCATTAAATTGAGTGGAAAAAAGAATCTCAAAAAGGGTAACTGCTCTTTGATCATATTTACATAACAGTCTCAAAATGACAAAATTGTAGAGATGGTTACAGATTAATGGTTATCAGGAGTTGAGGGATGGTGCCAGGGAGTTGGGGTAACTAATGGGTAGTGTGGGTGATCTGTATGGTGAGTGGAGTGTTTTGTATCTTGAACATGTGGCACCTAAAGGAATTTATATATGTAACAGAATGACAACTATACACACATTATACTAATGTCAGTTTGTTGGTTTAGTGAAATTAACTAACAAATTAACAGATTGTACTGTAATGATGTAAGATGTAACCACTGGGGAAATATGGACCATCTTTGCAACTTCCTGTGAATCTGCAGTTATTTCAAAATACAAAGTTGAGGCCAGGCACAATAGCTCACATCTGTAATCCTAGCACTTTGGGAGGCTGAGGTGGGTGGATCACCTGAGGTCAGGAGTTCGAGACCAACCTGGTCAACGTGGCGAAACCCTGTCTCTAATAAAAATACAAAAATTAGCTGGGCATGGTGGTGCATGCCTATAGTCCCAGTTACTCTGGAGGCTGAGGCACGAGATTCTTGCTTGAACCTGGGGGATGGAGGTTGCAGTGAGCTGAGATCGTGCAACTCCACTCCAGCCTAGGAGACAGAGCAAGACTCTGTCTCAAAAAAAAAAAAAAAAAAATTGGGAACTTCATAACTCACATGACTGTTTTGGTTGAGAGTTACTAGAAGCTTGTGATTAAGTTAAAGCTTTTAAAAACTGTCCTAAATAATAGGCAAACTGTCTTCCAGTTTTCTAACATTTTTGGGTTATGCTTGGCTTTTAAAAAAGTTTTAATAACAAAATTTATATATGAGAGTTCTGCATAGTATGTAAGAAACAGGAAACAAAGCTAAACTGTATATACTCACATTCATATTTAGAAAGACATTTAGAAGAGATATTTAGAAAAATGCTACGACTTCCTTGAATTCTAAGGTTAAATATGTTGATTTCTACTGTTTTATTTATAATATTAAAAATAAATGAAGTGAATTTTTATAAGTGACAATATTTTCTCT